>NT_167247.2:1286635-1557367 GCF_000001405.40 Homo sapiens | reverse complement strand
GGCCGGGATTCGCGGCCCGGAGCTCGGGACCGGTGAGTAGGGGGTGCACATGAGACATACAGCGAAGCAACAGTCTCGTACGCTCACCGGGTTTGGGGCGACCCAACGCAGCCGCCGGGCCCGGGTTCAAAACGGGGCCAGGCCCCCGGGCGGGCTCAGGAGGGGGTCAAGTTCGCTGCGTCCTCCCTGCCAGCCAGATCCCTCCTGTTTGCTTGTCCTTACATTCTCCCCCTCCTCTTGGGTCTTTCTCGCTTTCTGGTATCCTACTCAGACTCCCATCCATTCTAGTCTGCGGAACCAGAAGTAAGCGGGGCCTGGATGACCGTCCGGTTGCTTGGAGCCTGGTAGATAGGCGACTAATCCAGCTCCCTGACCAAAGTGTCATGCTTTCTTTCTCTTTCTTTCTTTTTTTTTTTTTGTTCGGAGTAAACCGGTTTAGCCACAAATACTTGGAGCTGTGCTTTCACTCCTTCCAGCTCATTAGCATTTTTCTTACTGATTTTCTCCCTATTTGGCCTTAGAAAAAAAGTGTAAATTTAACTCTGTGGAGTAAATGGGAGGGACACACTTCCAAATCTCCAGTAGATTTCAAATTTTGACCCACGATTTGTGTGTACTTCAAAAGAGGGGAGAATGACATTCGTTTATGCATGCCTTAACCTCCTGTTTTTAACTCTTAGCTGAAATCATAATCCCTAACATGTTTTTCCCCAAGTTCAAAAAAATCACCTTTAAAAAAAATAGGCTTTTTATGTTTCAAAAATTGCAATTTTATTGTTTAAGTAGACTTTATTTCTTACAACACTTTTAGATTTACAGAAGAATTGAGAAGATAGTACAAACTTCCCACATGCTCCAAACCGGGTCCCCTGTTATTAACATCTTACCTCAGTGTGGTACATTTGTTGCAGTTAACCAATATCAATACATTATTATTGACCAAAGTCCATAGTGTGTTCAGATTTCCTTAGTTTTTACCTCAGTACTTTTTCTGTTTCATGATCCCATGGAGGTTACCACATTACATTTAGTTGTCATGTCTCCTTATGCTCCTCTTGGCTGTGGGAGTTTCTCAGACTTGTTTTGATGACCTTGACAGCATTGAAGAATACTGGTCGTGTATGTTGTAGGATGCCCCTCTATTGGAATTTGATGTTTTTCTCCTAAGACTGGGCTTATGGGTAACTGGGAGGAAGACCACAGAGGTAGATTGCCATTATCATCCCATCGTATCAAGGGCATGTACTAACATGATTTATGACTTAATATTGATTTGGGTGAGATAGTGTTTTTCAGGTTTCTCCACTGTACAGTTAGTCTCTTTTCCACTCTTTGCGTGTATTGTCCTCTTTAGAAGGAAGTCACTAAGTGCAGCCCATACCTAGGGAGCCAAGAGTTATATTCCCCCTTCTTGAGGGCAAGTATCTACATATTATTGTTTGCAGTTATTCTGCATGGAAGATTTGTTTCTCTCTTCTCCCCAATTTATTAATTTATTCAATCATTAATTTCAGTGTAGACTCAGGGACATTTATTTTATACTTTGGTTTATAATCCAATACTACTTAATTTTGTTGCTCAAATTACTGTGGCTTTGGCTGTTGGGAGCTCTTTTCACATTGGCTCCTGTGCTCTTTCATAGTATTTTTATAGAGCTTTTTGCTAATGAGACACTCGTACTTATGTGACTTTGCCTCAACCTCAAATAGCCTGGTAAACTTGGCAAAATATTTTCCCCTTGTTAAGAGGTAAGGAGACTGAAGGCCTAAGGCAGTGGGTGACTTCTTAGATATCACTTCCTGCAGGGGAGTAACAGGTTGGACTCAGATTGTGTGTGACCACCACAGAAGACACTGCAAACCCCCGAAGAGAGTCCATGGTCTGTATTGAGGCTTCTTGGAATGACTTCAGACTTGGACCCCCCCAGGATCAGAATAGAAAAGACACGGAGAATGGGAAGTTGGTTTGAGAAGACAAAAACATAAATTGGCTGGCATCAGGATGAATTAGATTTTGCCAGCTTTATAGAAATGGAATTTTGTTCTTCCCCCCAAAATTGTGTGTGTGTGGAGGGAGGCCAAGAGAGATCTAGGTAATGTGTGTGGGCAAGAATGTCTAATCTAAAGAGAGCCCTGGAAGCCTGCTGCTGAAGCAGAATTTTAATGTGGGAAAGGGGGGTGTGTAGTGAAAGGGGGAAGAATGGAGATGGCAGGGCTCTGGAATTAGAGGAGGTCATTCATTTCACAAACATTTGCAGACCCCCTACTTTGTGCCAGATATTGGAGATAAAAAGGTCAGTGAGGCATGACCTTTGGGTTCACATTCTGGTGGGAGAGAAGACAGATAAAAATATCAATTACAGCCACTTATCCATAGCTTAGTTTTCCGTGGTTTCCGTTACCCATGGTCAACCTCAGCCCAAAGACAGTAAACAGAAAATTCCAGAAGTAAACAATTCATAAGTTTTAGATGTGCATTGTTCTGAGTAGCATGATGAAATCTCTTGCCCTCCCACTGTTCCTTCATCACAAGAAGGGTAAGTACAGTACAAGATAGTTTGAGAGAGAGAGAGACCACATGCATATAACTTTTATTACGGTATATTGTTATAGTTATTCTGTTGTGTTATTATTGTTAATCTATTTCTGTGCCTACTTTATAAACTTTATTACAAGTGTGTATGTGTAGGAGAAACAGGTTTCAGACATCCACTGGGGGTTTTGGAATGCATCTCCTGAGGATTGAGGGGACTCCTGTATGAATGTATCTTTAGCGGATGGGGGGTGCTACTGTATGAAGCACTGTGATAGTGCTATTGTAGAAATACAGTATATGCAAAGCTGCAGGAGGAGGGATACATTCAACTCAGAGGTGGGATGGGTACAGGAAACACCTCACAGATAAGGGGACAAATTGTATTCAAGCCTTCAAGGATGCGCTGGACTGGAGAGAAGAGCATGTACAAGGGAATGGGTGGAGAGTGGGGAGTGAAGAAGGGGCTGTCTTCCTGGTTCAGTGTATCTAATGGCCAGAGAATTAGGTAGGACGAGGAGGGATTTGGGGCTGGATGGGTAAGTTGGGGCTAGCCGGATGCAGGGCAGGGGAGGATGTCTGTGCAGTTTTTTTTTTTGTTTTGAGTCAGAGTCTCGCTCTGTCACCCAGGCTGGAGTGCAGTGGCGTGATCTCAGCTCACTGCAACGTCCGCCTCCTGGGTTCAAGCGATTCTCCTGCCTCAGCCTCCCGAGTAGCTAGGACTGCAGGCGCGTGCCACCATGCCCGGCTAATTTTTGTATTTTTAGTAGAGGCTGGGTTTCACCATGTTGGCCAGGATGGTCTCGATCTCTTGACCTCATGATCTGCCCACCTCGGCCTCCCAAAGTGCTGGGATTACAGGCGTGAGGCACCGTGCCCGGCCACCTGTGCAGTTTTGACCTCAGCTAGTAGGAGTTTTTTTGGTGTGTTTGTTTTTATTTTTATTTTTATTTTTATTTATTTATTTTATTTTAGAGACAGTCTCTCCCTATGTTGGCCAGGCTAGTCTTGAACCCCTGGATTCAAGGGATCCTCCTGCCTCAGCCTCCCACAGTGCTAGGATTATAGGCATGAGGCACCAAACCCAGCCTCAGCTAGGAGATTTGAAGCAGGAGAATAACAAGGATGAGATCCTGTGTGCTAGAAGGATGATCCTGGCAGCACTTTTTAGGAAATATGCCACATCTCACCAAATCTAAGATGCTATTTGTCTTAATCCATTTTCTGTTGCTGTAACAGAATACCACAGACTGGGTAAATTGTAAACAACAGATGTTTATTCAGCTCACGGTTCTGGCCAATGGACTCTTGCAAGAAAGGCATTAATCCATTCATGAGAGTTACACCCTCATGACCCAGTCACGTCTTAAAGACCCCACCTCTTAATACCGTTACATTGGCAATTACGTTTCCAACACGTGAACTTTTGGGGGACATGTTCAAACCACAGCACCACCAAATCTTTTATGTGCCCTTATTTTATGCTCCACATCAAAAAAATATTTTGCCAGTTAAATTATGACATGCAATTGATCACATTTCAGAGATGCTAAAATGTGATGTCACAGGTGTCTCAAATTTGATGAAAAGCACTAACTCCCTTGCTGATGGCTTAGATTCCTCCCTTTCCCTGGATTAATGGTTAGGATGTCTCCATCTCACTAACTCATAGATGGTAAGTTACCAAGGGAAAGAAGAACAGAAGCTGGGTGGGCCCTTCCCCTTCTCTCCCCAAAGATAAACATTTACAACATTTACTGGTTGGGTCGAGGAGCACAATATCTGGTCTGCTGCTATAGGATTCCTTGGCCTGTTATTGGGCCTGTCTCATGCTGTTTCCTTTTGGGGAGTTAAATACACACACACACACACACACACACACACACACACACACACACACACAGATATTCTATATCCCATCCTCCAGAGTGGCAAAAATTAAAGCTGATATTATCAGGTGTTGGTGAGGCTGTGGGGCATCATGAGTGCTCATAGCCTGCTGAGCAGACTACATAGCACTATAGTCACTTTGGAAACAGTTTGGCCTGCTTAGTCAAATTGAGGGTACATCTTGCCTGTGTGTGCTAGAACATGTATGCAGAAATATTCACTGAAGCAGTGTTTGTAATTGTCCCAAACTGGAAACAACTCATATGGCTATCAGTAGACTGCATTAAAAATTGTATAGTTAGAGAGCAGCAATTAAGTAAAATCAGCTCATAATCACATGGATGAGCCTCACAAACATGTTGACAGCCCCCCACCCAAATACATGCAAAAAAAAAAAAAAAAGGAAAAAAATTCCATTCATTTGAGGCTCAAAACCTGAGAAAATAAACTCTGTTTATGGGGTGTATACCTAGGTCTAAAACTAAAGAAAAGGGAAGGAGTGATTCTCACTATTACAATTTACTCCACAACAACCATTTTCTCAGACACAGCTTTTTCTTCTCCTGGTTTCTGTAAGTTGCTGGAGCGAAACCTTGGATACGATGATTTGCTGGTGACGTGCAGCCCACTGTTCTTGCTGCTACAGGGAATATGAAGAAATTGCTTCTCTCTCTACCAATTTACTACCATCTTGCTGGAGAGAAAGGGCAGGTGGCTAAGATTGTTCGCATTCCTTCAGCAGATGTGTAGGAAGCATCTTCTTTGTGTCAGATACTCTGTGCTTGTGCTTTGTTTTCTCAGTCAGTTTTTATTGTCTACTCTGTGCCAAGTAATATGTAGATTCTGGGGATAAGACAGACACAATCTCTCTCCTTGTTTCATGGAAAAAGCTGGTGTTAAGCGAGTAATTACACTAATAAGTCAGGACTTAAAACTGCAGAGAAGTACAGGGTGCAGCATGGGGTGTTTTGGGGCTGTATAACTAGACTACATGTGGACCCAATCTGACAGGTCAGGAAAGAATTGCCAGAGGAGGTGGCTTTCAGCTGAGACTTCAAGCTAGAAAAGGCATTTGCTAAGTGGGAAAGGGATGGTGTTCTAGGCAGAAGGAATTACATTGTCGAAGGGCTTAGCCAGGAAAGAGCATAGCACTTTGAGGCATGGAGAGCGGTTTGGTTTGGCTGTGAGTTTGAGGTGGGGAGTGGCAGGAAATGAGCCTGGAGACACAGGCTGGGCCATGATTATCTGGGAATCCAGCTAGGATCTCCTGGGACAGCCTCCTCACAGAAGAAAGGAAGGACAGGAGTTTTGACTTTATTCCTGGAGCACCAGAAAGCCATTGAGGGGTTTAACCTGGTTGGTCACCCGGGCAGATTGGCAGTTTAACACGTGACCGAGTGTGTTTGAGGATCAAAAGGCCAGAGTGGCTGCAGCACTGGGGCAGCAAAGGGGAGAGGAGGTTTATGTAAATCAGGAAACCCTTGAGGGTTTGATGATCCCACAGTTGGATCTGATTTCAGCTTCTAAAGGATTCCTCAGGTCACTGGATGTAAGTTCTGGTAGGACAGGGAGTTTGCCACTTTTGTTCTCTGCTGTAACCTCGGTGCCTGACACATAGTCGGCACCTAATAAACATCTGCTAGCTGTTGAATAACTTTCAACATCCTGCTGCTTAAACCCTCAATGGCTTCCCAGGGCTGTTAGGATAAAGTCCAAAATTCTTAACCTGGGTCACAGTCTTGCATAATCTGTTCCCTCCTGTTTCTCCACCCTTCCTCTGCTCGCCTCACTGCACTCCACCTGTGGCCAATTGTCAGCTCCTCAAATTCACCGCTACCCTTTCTCCGGCGGATGATTTCCTCTGCCTGTGAGGCTAACCCTCCACAGCACTCCATATGGGCAGGGAAGAGTTCATTTTCCAGGCACCAAAGTGCAGTGTATGGTGGAATGGAAGGAGCCCAGAGCTGGGAGGTGCACCTCACCCCACCTCGTGCTAGTGCTGGCCTTGCTGCCAGCCAGCTCTGCTGCTGGGCAAATGAGTCCGAGGCTCTGGCACTCACTGTCCTCCTCTGTAAATAAGGGGTTCTAGTGATTCACAGTCCTGGATAGACTTTAGAATCTCCTGGGAAGTTTGTTTTTTAATACCAGAGCCTGGGCCACCTCTGGAGATCCTAAGTCAGTTGGTCTAGGTATGTTTTGAAGACTCACCAGTTTGAAGACTACAAATCTGATGTGTAGTCAAGGTTTGAACCATTCCACAAGATGATAAAGGATTCCTTCCTATATTTGGTGCAAAGCACCAAGTGACACTTAGGAATATTTTAGACAAGAGAGCTTGGTTCATGATTCAACATTAGACAGATATTCTGGCACAAATATGAAGAACCCTCAATTTTCCCCTGTGGGTCAGCCACAAGACCAGGGCAATTTAACGCCTTGTCTCATCCACCTCCCAGCTGGCTGCTACCTCCTGCCCCTCTTTGAGCCCTGTGGGGATTTCTAGCGTTCAGAGCCCTGGTAGTTTTTGTGGCCTGCACTGTGCTTCAGAGCACCACTGATGCTCGGCTCCGTGGGGAAAGTAAGCCAAGTGTGACCACAAGAACGCATCATCCACAGTCACTGGGATCTCCTGGGACAGCCTGGGATCCAGGCCTTTGGCCTGGCCAGTAGGGGTGCAGTCACTCCTAGTATGCACATCCAGATCACTTGCTTTTTGCCCCGAATTCTGGCCTCTCCAGGTTTGTTAGAGGTGTCTCACGGAAGTTTACCCCATGGAGAGTTTGCTTATCTCAGATTAAAATATGGGGATTAATCTGGGACCCAGGAGCCCTTAAATGGAGTACCCACAGGGAATGGAGCTCTAGGCTAAGTGCTTTGGGATTACAGGTGCTTTGCTCTTGTTTGGAGGTCCAGACATATGCTTGAGAAGCAGCTTGGGATACTCAAGAGAGGCCTGAACTGGTACCCTGGAGGCCAGGATGAAAACCCAGGCCTCTCCATTTACTTTCTTGGGCCCCAGAGTCCACATTTGGGATTCACTGTCTACCAGGGCACCTCTCTGGGTGGCATCTAGGAGCCGGAGGCAGGCCAGAGTTTCACCCAGGCTGGAGTGCAGTGGCGCAGTCATGGCTGTCTGCAGCCTCAACTTCTTGGGCTCGGGAGATCCTCCTGCCTCAACTTCCTAAGTAGCTGGAACTATAGGCATGTGCCATCGCACCCAGCTAATTCAGCTAATTTCTTTTTTTGGAGACAATGTCTCACTATATTACCCAGGCTGGTCTCAAACTCCTGGGCTCAGGCAGTCCTCCTGCCTTAGCCTCCCACAGTGCTGGAATTACAGGCACAAGCCCCCGTGCCCGGCTTTCAGCTAGTTTTTGTAGCTCATAGTGATTATTCTTGGAGCCAATAATCGTGCATGCATCCACATCTTGAAATTACATGGTGTCACCTTGACCAGTCTGTTGACATATGCAGATTAGGTATTTATGAGATCCAGAGACTTATAGGGGAGGGGTGGATTTCAGGGAAAAGGGAACCTCTTAGAGAAAGGTAGGGAGTGTCTGCAGTTCTGCCTGTGAGGAGGGTACCAGGACATTGCAGGGCTTGTTTGTTGCATCTTCCTGGTTCTATAGAATTGCAGCTAGCTTCTGGTTTATTTTTTCATTTTTATTTTTTGAGATGGAGTTTTGCTCTTGTTGCCCAGGCTGGAGTGCAATTGGCGTGATCTCAGCTCACTGCAACCTCCGCCTCCTGGGTTCAAGCGATTCTCCTGCCTCAGCCTGCCCAGTAGCTGGGATTATAGGCATGCGCCACCACACCTGGCTAATTTTGTATTGTTAGTAGAGATGGGGTTTCTCCTTGTTGGTCAGGCTGGTCTCAAACTCCCGATCTCAGGTGATCCACCCGCCTCTGCCTCCCAGAGTGCTAGGATTACAGGCAGAAGCCACCGCGCCCGGCCGCTTCTGGTTTATTGAAGAGACAGAAAAATACCCCCTCACCCCCAGCAGGGATGTGTGACCTCTGGTGCAAGGGAGTTCATGAAGTGACTTCTTCAGGTTCAGAATTCTCATCTGAGTAAAGGGAGTGGGGGTGGAGTGGGTCATCTCTGAGGTTTTTTTTTTTTGGCTCTGATTTTGGTTTCTGTCTGCCCAGGAGTCAGGAATGGAGAGAAGGGTAATGGTTTTACCTCTTATTGTGGAAACCTGTTGAGATCACAGAGAATATACTGACGGCATAAAAGGGCAGAACCATAGCAGGGTGCGGTAAGTTGGGGAAGAGTTTTTGGAGAGGGTGAATTTTGCATTGGACCTGACAGAATTGTGTATGGGGAAGGGGAGCGGTTATTCTGGTCTGCTCACATCTCTCATACTCAACCTCATTTCTCCTAATTCTGAAATCTTGAGATCCTCTATCACTAAGAAGGAAAACTACTGTCCAACAGGGACACTTTATTGCTCACCCCATATGTGAAAGTTTGTCATAGCTAAGGCTAGGGTGCTTTTGGTCAGTATCAGCAGAATATATGCCCCCTTTCTTTTGTCAGCATTACTCCGCTTACAAAGCCCTTCCATGTAGATGACCTCATCTGAGCTTCCTAACAAAGGAGCTGGTATTAGACCCCATTTTACAGTGTGCCTGGGTAGGGAAGAGAGTGTAGTGGATTGAGCAGAGGCCTTGGCACCAGACACTGCTTCCTAGCCATGTGCTCTTGGGCAAGTTGCTTAACCCTGCTGAGCCTCAGTTTCCTCAGAAGGAGTCTGTATAAGCAAGGGAAGGGATTGGTCATAGAAGTGGTACTGTGTTTCATTTATCTAGTTATGGCAGACTCTCAAAAACAAATGGTTCTATACAACTAACATTGTCTGCAATTCCCCTGAATCCATTCACTTGTTCAGTAAATGTGTATTGAGCTTCTACAAGGTGTCAAGCACCATGATCTCTGTATCAGTGATTTAACCATTTTTGATGGTTACTACAGACCTCTTTAAGAATGTGATAGAAAACTGTAGCTCCCTCCCCAGAAAACTTTTCTAGCTTTTTATTTTGCTTTGCAGTGAGCCAAGATAGTTCCACTGCACTCGGGGGACAGAGTAAGACCCTGTCTCAAAAAAAAAAAAAAAGAAAGGAACCATTTCAAATTAGGTGGGAGACATGGAGCTCTAAATACTACAGCATCCATTGCCTAGAAATACAGGTATTCTCAGCCGGGCGCGGTGGCTCACACCTGTAATCCCAGCACTTTGGGAAGCCAAGGCAGGTGGATCACCTGAGGTCAGGAGTTTGAGACCAGCCTGGCCAACCTGGTGAAACCCCGTCTCTACTAAAACTACAAAAAATTAGCCGGATGTGGTGGTGGGCACCTGTAATCCCAGCTACTAGGGAGGCTGAGGCAGGAGAATCGCTTGAACCTGGCAAGCGAAGGTTGTAGTGAGCCAGATTGCGCCATTGCACTCCAGCCTGGGCAACAAGAGAAAAACTCCATCTCAAAAATAAATAAATATATTAATAAATAAATAAGAAGTATAGGCATTCTCATACATAACCTCAGTAAATACCATTAAGAAAATAATTTTAGACATGGTGCAGTTGCTCATGCCTATAATCCCAGCACTTTGGGAGGCTGAGGTGGGAGGATGGCTTGAGCCTAGGAGTTTGAGACCAGCCTGGGCAATATAGTGGCAACTCTTCTCTACAAAAACCTTTAAAAATTAGCCAAGTGTGGTAGTATGCACCTGTTGTTGCAGCAACTCGGGAGCCTGAGATGAGAAGATTGCTTGAGCCAGGGAGGCCGAGGTTGCAGTGAGCCCAGATAGTTCCACTGCACTCTGGGGGACAGAGTAAGACCCTGTCTCAAAAAAAAAAAAAAAAAAAAGAAAGAGAGGAAATAATTTTTTAATATGATCTAACACCCAGCCTACTTACAAATTTCCCACAATAGTTCCAAGACTATTTTTATAACCTTTTTTTTCTTTTTACAGGATCCAATCAAGGTTCACGTATTGCATTTGGTTATTATTTCTCTTTAGTCTGTAAAAATCAAAAGCAGTTCTTTCGAAGGTTTTTTTTTATGACATTGACTTTTTAAAAGACTAGGCCAGTTGCCATGTGCAATGTCCAGCATTCTGGATTTATCTGGTTCTTTCCTTATGGTGTGGTTTAATTCCTCCATCGGTACTTTTTCAGTTATAACATACTTCAGAGTATTCCTTTCCTTTATATTTTTTATAAACTGGAAGTTAGATCTAAAGTCTTGACTAGATTCATTCAAGTCAAACATTTTTGGCACAAACACTTCATAGGTAATGTTGTGTGATTCATATAGTGCCATGCCAGAAAGCACATGCCACTTTGCCCCGTCTGCTGATGACGCTGGATTTGGTCACTTAGTTAAGATAACCACTGGATCTCTTCCTTATGAAGGTATGTCAGGAAGTAATCCATTCATTGGTGCTTTGGCACCATGGGTACTATCTCATCCCCCAAAACTTTTCACCTAATAGTTTTAGCATCTATTGATGATCCTTGTGCTATTATAATGGCAGTCGCAAAATGATTTTCTAATTCTGTTATCCCTCTTCTACTTATTTGCTGATTAATCTTACAGAAGGTTATTCTTCTGTAATCCCCAGACAATTTTAGGTATCTAGTACATATGCAATAATTTTTAGACAGTTTCAGGAGGTTTAGAGACCATCAAACCCCAGCATGGAGCCTGGGTGATGAGGTGTCCTGTTTTGCATGGAAGAAGAGCTGTAGCTGAGCTCTTCATAGTCCTTTTATTGTTCTTATTTTGCAAGTAAATTGCAAAATAAGTTCCCAACCCAAAGATAACACAGGCTATCCTTCAACAAAGAAAAACCTCAGCTTTTAAACTTCTAGGCCATTTGGCAAAGAGGCATGATAAAGGGCTTGAAAGCCCACAGACACGCCCAGTACCACTCCTTTTTCCTCTTTCCAAACACTTGCAGTATGTTACAACTGAAAAACTGCTGAGCCAGGCTTATTTCCTCAACAGTAAAGCCAAGGAGTTGGACCAGGCAATTCCTAGCATTTCTTTCTTTTTTTTTTTTTGAGATGGAGTCTCACTCTGTCACCCAGGCTGGAGTGCAATGGCACGATCTCGGCTCACTGCAACCTCTGCCTCCCGGGTTGAGGTGATTGATTCTCCTGCCTCAGCCTCCTGAGTAGCTGGGACTACAGGTGCATGCTACCACACCTGGATAATTTTTGTATTTTTAGTAGAGATGGGGTTTCACCGTGTTAGCCAGGATGGTCTCAATCTCCTGACATTGTGATTCACCTGCCTCGGCCTCCCAAAGTGTTGGGATTACAGGTGTGAGCCACCGTGCCCGGCCAATTCCTAGCATTTCTACCAGCATTACTAACATGTAGGAACTTGATATTACTTTCACTTGACAGTTAAATTCCTTGAATCCTTCATTTGAGCTTTGAAGGTGCTTGATTTTCCCCTCATTATGTCTCTTAAAGTCACACATACCTAGATCCATTAGTGCTTCCAGTTGGAATTTATTATCAGCACTATAAGAATCTCTTATATTTATGTAGTCCTTTTACGTTATAAAACACTTTTTATGTATTATTGTACTAGACCCTCAATGAGTGGACGTTATATCCCTGTTTTGTTTACTCTTGGGTCTTATAGACTGGGGGTTTTATTTCTGTCCCATTAATGTCACTACTGACAGAGGCCACTGAACTCTGTTGTGATGGACTTTCACCATACATAATCATTAATAGTATTGATTTGCCTGTAATTCAGGTTGCTTCATTCCAGCCTCGCAGTCACCTCTGTGCCCTGCTGGTTGTCTTCCCAGCGCTGCTGTAGTTGCCTTCCATGGATCTATAGGAGAGCAAGTCCTCCAGGTACTGCCCTGTGACGATGTTGTTGAACTCTGTAGCACGTGTGTCACTGTGGCTGGTTCTGCTCACTTCCTCTTTTGCTGCCACTTTTGAATTTAACTCTTTGTTTGTGGTTTGGACACTCACTGGATTTGGAAACCAGGGGTTGTGGGTTCTCTCCTAGATTTCCGTCTGTGTACCAGGCTTGTGCTTAGCACTTTTCCCATAATTCTTTCACATGACCTGCTTAGAAACCCTTAAAGGTAAGTATCACTCTTCCCATTTTACAGATGGATACACTGAGGCTCAGTACTTAAGTGACTTCTGTATTGTCACACAGAGTCAGGGGCAGGAGGCTGCTCTTGGGTTAGATGTGCTGAGGCTCATAACCTCAGCCTGGAACTGGGTCAGGACTACAAAGGTAAACAGAAGCAGAGTCCTTTCTGTGTGTCCCCGCTCCCTGTACAAGCCAAGGCCTCACAGCACATAGCAGCCACAGCCACCTGAGGATTCCTGCCATCTAGACGAGGCAGTTACAGCCAAGAACAAGTCCACTGAGGCTAAGCTGTGCTCCTCTGGAGGGCTGTGTTTAGAGTCCAGCCTTCTAGGGGAAGCAAATTAAACCCAAACTATAGAACAGCCCAGGGAAATACTCACAAAGGGAAATGCTGACAGTCAGACTCCTGAAGCTTCCTGATGCTTCTCGAGTTTTGGTAAAGAACCTCAGTGCTGTTTGTTTGTTTGTTTTTTAATGTTTTCTGGTTTTTTGTTTGTTTTGAGACAGTCTCTTATTCTGTTGCCCAGTCTGGAGTGTAGTAGTACAATCATGGCTCACTGTAGCCTCCACCTCCCAGATTCAAGTAATCCTTCTGCCACAGCCTCCTCAGTAGCTGAGACTACAGATGCATGCTACTACACTGGGGTATTTTAAAAAATTTTTAAATTTTTTTAGTTGAGACAGGGTCTCACTATGTTGCTGAGGCTGGTTTCAAACTCCTCGGTTCAAGTGATCCTCCTGCCTCAGCCACCCAAAGTGTTGGATTTACAGGGTGAGCCATGTCACATTGCCCTCTCTTAGTTCTTGAAACCTGAAACCTTGAGGAGCAAACAAAAGGGGTCTCTTGGCCAGGTGCAGTGGCTCACGCCTGTAATCCCAGCACTTTGGGAGGCCGAGGCAGGTGGATCACGAGGTCGGGAGATCAAGACCATCCTGGCTAACACGGTGAAACCCCGTCTCTACTAAAAATACAAAAAATTAGCCAGGTGTGGTGGTGGGTGCCTGTAGTCCCAGCTACTCGGGAGGCTGAGGCAGGAGAATGGTGTGAACCTGGGAGGCGGAGGTTGCAGTGAGCTGAGATCGCGCCACTGCACTCCAGCCTGGGCGACAGAGTAAGACTCCATCTCAAAAAAAAAAAAACCAAAAAAAAAAAACGGGCGGTCTCTTGACTCTGTCAGGACCCCCATGACTGCTCGTGTGTCTTGTGCTTTGCACAGTTGAGTGAAGGAGCACTGTGTCCACAGTAGACATTGTAGATTTATATATGTATCATTATGAGTTTCCCAGCAGGTAGTGAGAGATTTTTTATTACAGTTGGTGCATTACAGCGATTTTCCAACAGATAGAAGGAAAGGGTGTTGAGGCTCTCCCAACAGCAAGGTATAGGCTAGTGGCTGTCCTGCTCTTCACTCTACCAAGCTAATCTTTCTGGGTTTCCATATCCTTATCTGTACAATGAGGAAGTTGGACTAGATCTATAAGGTCCTCTTCTCGTTGACATTGTGTGAACCTTGTAGGAGCTGGTGGTGTCTGTCGATTGACTGAGTGCTGGAGCTGGCAGCCCTGTGCAGGCTGCCACCTTTGCCCCTTTACTGTGCTTGCTCCTGACTCTATGTCGCGTCTCCAAGGAGAAGAAGTCCTCACCAGTGAACGGAGACCTCTCTGAACTAAGGATACCATGGCCACGTCAGCCCCACTACGGAGCCTGGAAGAGGAGGTGACCTGCTCCATCTGTCTTGATTACCTGCGGGACCCTGTGACCATTGACTGTGGCCACGTCTTCTGCCGCAGCTGCACCACAGACGTCCGCCCCATCTCAGGGAGCCGCCCCGTCTGCCCACTCTGCAAGAAGCCTTTTAAGAAGGAGAACATCCGACCCGTGTGGCAACTGGCCAGCCTGGTGGAGAACATTGAGCGGCTGAAGGTGGACAAGGGCAGGCAGCCGGGAGAGGTGACCCGGGAGCAGCAGGATGCAAAGTTGTGCGAGCGACACCGAGAGAAGCTGCACTACTACTGTGAGGACGACGGGAAGCTGCTGTGCGTGATGTGCCGGGAGTCCCGGGAGCACAGGCCCCACACGGCCGTCCTCATGGAGAAGGCCGCCCAGCCCCACAGGGTAAGCCCTCTTCACCCCCGAGGGTGCCTTGCCACCTTCTCTGGATGCTCCACCTTGCAGTCCTCAGAGGACTCAGCCTGAGTCTCCCTTCCTGCCCCAGCCCAGAGCATCCACCTGTTGCCACTGCTTGTTTTTCCACAGGAAAAAATCCTGAACCACCTGAGTACCCTAAGGAGGGACAGAGACAAAATTCAGGGCTTCCAGGCAAAGGGAGAAGCTGATATCCTGGCCGCGCTGGTAAGTGAGGCTGTTTCAGGAAGCCCTGAGGCGGTGCGCCCGTGTAGGGCAGGGTGAGCCTGGGCAAGTAGGCGGCAGCTGGGAGGTGTTTCTAGGCGCTGCTCACAGGGAGGATGGGTGTCAGCCTGGCAGTAGCAGACCTGGGTTTTAGCCCAAGTGCTGTCTTTCTGAGCCGTGTAGTCTTGGGCCTGTTTCTTGTCTGAGAGACAAGTGGGCTGCCTGGATGTCAGCTAGAGTCCCTTCCGTTTTCTGTGACTGTCACCTTGAAGGCAGGGCCCATGTCCAGCTGCTGGTTCTCTTCTGCCAGGGGACTGAAGAAGGTGTGGCTTCATTCTTCCTTTCAAAGAGAGAGAGAGAGACAAGGTTGCCTGAGAGTGGAGAGGGTTTAGAAGGAGGGAGCTGGCTCCAGGGTAAGAACTGAGAGGGAAGGGCTAGAAAACAGCTAAGGCAGGTCTGCCAATTCTGATGGCACTGTATGTAGTGAGGTCCAGGCCCAGGATCATGGTTGCCAGTACAGTGGGACCTCCTCCATATCTGTGGGTTCCGTAGCGGCGAATTTACCCAACCATGGATCAGAAATATTCAGAAAAAAGAAAAAGCGTCTCTACTGAACATGTACAGATTTTTTTTCTTGTCATTATTCTCTAAACAATTCAGTGTAACAGCTATTTATATAGCATTTACATTATATTAGGCATTATAAGTAATCTAGTGATAATTTAAAGTATATAGTAGATTTTATGTAACTATTATTCCATTTTACATAAGAACTTGAGCATCCTTGGATTTTGGTATCCTTGGGGAGGGAGATCCTGGAACCCATCACCCACTGATACCAAGGGACAACTGTAGTTAGAAAACAGGCAGCACATTATGTACTTGATTAGAGTTGGGGTTGGGGGGAACTGATCAAATGGTTCTGATTTTCTGGGGAACTGTGTATGTTGAGGAAGTGGGCAGTGGAGGAGTAGTGGGGTCAGGGCCAGTGGTGAGTCATTAGGCCTAGGGAGAGGGAAACAGTAAGCTAGAGACAGCCAAGTCCAAGGACCCCTCCAGGCCCTCAGTGTGCATGGCTGCCCCCAGCTCAGCACCAGTCAACAGGGCCACTGAGGACTCCCCCAACCCCAGCTGGGGAGGAGATTTGGAGGCAGGAAAGGACATAGTCCCTAAGCACAGACGTCACACAATTTTGCTGAGGAAACAGGATGCAGTCTTACATGGCAGGGGTGGGGTACATATAGATATTTTAGACTGAACAGTGGGGTGCTGAAGAGAGGGCTGGTCAGGCTTAGATGACATTAATCAAGCAAAACTTCCTGGAAGAGGTGACAGATTTTGTCCAGGAGGGAAAAGTGCGTCGGCTCATGAGTGAGACCCACAGAGTTTCTCTAGGGGCCCCAGAGCGTACTGGTTTAGCTAGAACAGATTGTGGCTGACCAGTCAGGTGGAGACAGGGTTTTGACCATATAGTGGTGGGGTGAACTGAACTAATTCATTACTGGAGTCTTCTTTGAGAAGCGGAGTGTGGACCAGGAACCCTCTGTAGCTCCTCCCACTCCAGATCCTGTAGAATTCCTGAACGGGGGTAGCGAGGTGAACGAGCCAGCCTTGCACACCTCCAGCACTGGGCCCTCCACCCTGAGCAGAGGTGTCAGCCCTTCTCCCCTTCCTGCCCCCTGCAGAAGAAGCTCCAGGACCAGAGGCAGTACATTGTGGCTGAGTTTGAGCAGGGTCATCAGTTCCTGAGGGAGCGGGAGGAACACCTGCTGGAACAGCTGGCGAAGCTGGAGCAGGAGCTCACGGAGGGCAGGGAGAAGTTCAAGAGCCGGGGCGTCGGGGAGCTTGCCCGGCTGGCCCTGGTCATCTCCGAACTGGAGGGCAAGGCGCAGCAGCCAGCTGCAGAGCTCATGCAGGTGAGAGGCCGTCCCTGGGCAGGGCGCCAGGGACCAGGACGGTGGGTCCCAGCCCTGCCATTCACTTGCAGGACCTTAGAAGACTTGGGGGCTCAGTTTTGTCATCTGAAACATGGAGATGATAATCCTTACTGCTGCCAATTAGTCTGTAGATTGCATGAGCATAAAATGAAATAACTGGCATGCTGTCACTTCAAAAAATAAACTTTTTACACAAAACTGTTCAAAAAACTAAATGGTATAGTAGAAAATGGAAGGGAAGATTATTAATATCATTTACCATCCTCCATCCTCATCACTGCCATCACAAGCCCTCTTAACAAGTCATTGGCAGACACTTAGCAGCTGGTGGAAGCTTTTTATGGTGTTGTGGTTGGGGGTGGCTGAGGGAGGGCTGACCAGCAGCTCCTCTCAAAGACCCAGAGGATCTGGAAGAGATAGGGTAACTGGGGAAGGGAGACAGAGATGGCCAGGTTTTCTTTGGCCCATGGGATTACCACACAGAGAACAAGATGGAAAGCAGACAAGGGGGCCTCGGGGCACCTCCTAGAGGAGGGGGCTTTGATAGTGAGAAAGGGAGGGTTTGGGGCTGAAGAACTGGCTGTGAAGCTGAAATGGCACCACATCTCCTCCCCCCCGGGAGCCTCTGGGGATCACACTTACCCTGAAGAGGGCCCAGTCCCCTTTGGAGGGGTAGAGGGCTCAACCTTCCTGCTCTCATAGGCTGGGAGGGGAGGGGCTCTCTGATGGTATTCCCCCACTTGCACTGTTTAGGGTGGCTGGGTCTGTCTGTCAGCAGCAGAGCCACCCAGGATCTCTAGGAAGGTGGAGTCCCAGGCTAATGGCAGGGCAATAGCTAGGAGGGAGAGATAGCAAGGCAGACTCTGCAGTATGTGCACTGGGACAGACTGCAGAAGGAGGCGGCCACCTGCTCCTCATTGTTGTGAATTCAGATGTACAGAATGAGGACTGGCAGGGATTTTAGACCTTCCAGTTCAGCCCCTACTGATGAAGTCACTGAGGTCCAGAGAGTGGGAGGAGTTTGTCCCAGGCCATGGGGTGGGTGTCAGGTCACAGCTTGAGCCCAGATGTCCTGACTCCTGGGCTCTGAGCTCTTGTTCTTATTTTGTCCAGAATGTCTCTCTGGCCCCCTCTTTTCCTCCAGATGTCATTCTGTTCTCTCAGATTTCTCTCGTCATACTCTTTGACTGGGTCATTTTCTGCATCTCCTTTTGCCCGTTTCTCTTCTCCTTCCTCTCCTCACGCCCCTGCCATGTGTGAATGCCTACTGTGTGGAACAGAGGCACACAGCTGAGGATGTGGTGGGGCTGAAATCCATTGTGTTTGCCCGGAGGGGTGCCTTTTCCTAATGCACCCAGAGAAGTGGCCCTCAGAGCAGAAGCCTGGCCCTCAATGACTCAGAGCACTCAGATTGCAGCTCTCCCTGGGGTGGGATAAGGTCAAGGGAAGGGAGAGAAAATGGCGTCAGCTTGAAACTAGTATAGGAAATGTTATTGGTACTGGTAGGTTTCTTTTTTTGTTTTGTGTTTTCTCTTTTAATTTTAGTGCTATATAATGTATATATTTATGGGATGTAGAGGTTTTTGTTTGTTTATTTTTGAGACAGAGTCTCGCTCTGTCTCCCAGGCTGGAGTGCAGTGGCGTGATCTCAGCTCACTGTAATCTCCGCCTCCTGGGTTGAAGCAATTCTCCTGCCTCTGCAACCTCTGTCTCCTGGGTTCAAGCGATTCTCCTGCCTCAGCCTCCCAAATAGCTGGGATTACAGGCGCACATCACCACACCTGGCTATTTTCTGTATTTTTGGTAGAGTCAGCGTTTCACCATGTTGGCCAGGCTGGTCTTGAACTCCTGACCTCAGGTGATCGCCTGCCTCAGCCTCCCACAGTGCTGGGATTACAGGCGTGAGCCACTGTGCCTGGCCTAGAGTGATACTTTGATACAAGTATATAATATATAATAATCAACTCAGAGTAATTAGTATATCTGTCACCTCAAACACTTATCATTTCTTTGTGTTGGAACATTCAAAATCCTCTCTTCTAGCTTTTTGAAAATGTATAGTAAATTATAGTTAATTATATTCTCCCTGCAATGCTGCACAACACTAGAATTTATTCTTCCCATGTAGCTATAACTTTGTATCTGTTAACCAACTTCTCCCCACCCTCCTCTCCCCAGCCCCCTTCCCAACCTCTAATCATTACTATTCTACTGTCTTACTTCCATGAACTCAAATTTATTATGGATGAATAGTACTCCATTGTGTATATATGCTACATTTTCTTTATCTATCTGTTGATGGATGCTTAGATTGAGTCCACATCTCAACTATTGTGAATAGTGCCACAATAAACATGAGTGTGCAGGTATCCCTTTGATATACTGATTTTCTTTTCTTTGGATAAATACCTAGTAATGAGATTGCTGGATCATATGGTAGTTCTATTTTTAGTTTTTTGAGAAACTCTCATACTGTTTTCCGTAACGGCTATACTTATATGTAGAAAAACCTAAAGGCCCCACCAAAAAACCCTTAGAACTAATAAACAAATTCAGTAAAGTTGCAGGATACAAAATCAACATAAAAAGTCTACTGCATTTTTAATACACCAATAACAAACTAGCTAAAAAAGACATCAAGAAAGCAACCCCATTTACAATAGCTACAAAAGTAAAATAAAATACCTGGGAATGAAGTTAACCAAGGAGGTGAAAGACCTCTTTAATGAAAACTACAAAACACTGATGAAAGAAATTGAAGAAGACACAAACAAATGGAAAAATATTCCATGCTTGTGGATTAGAATTAATATTGTTAAAATGACTGTCCTACCCAAAGCAGTCTACAGATTTAATACAATCCCTGTTATCAAAATACGAATGACATTCTTCAGAAAAATAGAAAAAAAACTAAAATTCATATGGAGTCACAAAAAACCCCAAATGGCCAAAGCAATCCTAAGCAAAAAGAACAAAACTGGAGGCCTCACACTATCTTACTTCAAAATATACTACAGCCAGTTGTGGTGGCTCACACCTGTAATCCCAGCACTTTGTGAGGCCGAGGCAGGCGGATCACGAGGTCAGGAGTTTGAGACCAGCCTGACCAACATGGTGAAACCCCATCTCTACTAAAAATACAAAAATTAGCTGGGCGTGATGGTGCGCACCTATAATCCCAGCTACTCGGGAGGCTGAGGCAGGAGAATCACTTGAATCCAGGAGGCAGAGGTTGCAGTGAGCCGAGATTGTGCCACTGCATTCCAGCCTGGGCAATAGAGTGAGACTCCATTAAAAAAAAGAAAAAAAAAAAAAAAAATATATATATATATATATATATATATATATACACACACACACACACACACATATATATATACACACATATATATGTATATATATACATATATATGTATATATACATATATATATATACTACAAAGCTGTAGTAACCAAAACAGCATGTATTGATATAAAAGCAGACACATAGACCAATGGAACAGAGTAGAGAACTCAGAAATAAATTCACATATTTACAGCCAACTGATTTTCAACAAAGGAACCAAGAACATACAATGGGGAAGGGACAGTCTCTTTAATAAATGGTGCTAGGAAAACTGGGTAACCAACCATACGCAGAAAAATGGTATTGGTAGATTTTGTCTGTGTGCTTATTTGAGTTTGATTGTACTGCGTGGGAACTGGACAGCTACCTCCCTAATTAGCATTAATATTTTCCCAGAGATTATTTGGCTGTCAAAGTATAGTAAGAAAAAGACCTAAAATAGGGTCCAGAAGTCTGATAGAGAAATACAGGTGAGGCTGGTGTGGTGATTCACACCTATAATTCCAGCACTTTGGGAGGCTGAGGCAGGCAGATTGCTTGAACCCAGGAGTTTGAGACCAGCCTGGGCAACATAGTGAGATCCTGTCTCAAAAAAATTAAAATAAAATAGAAATACAGGTGAGAGGGAGAAGCAGCAGGACAAAATGTGTAAAATAGAAGAGACCTTTTGATAGAGGTGATAGGAAAGGAAAGACAAACCTATGGGCTGGGAGCATCAAGAAGACATTAAAGGGATTGGGGTGACAGGAGAGGCCCAGAGAGACACTGCATCCTGCCCTGGTAACCCGGGCAGGCCCTGCAGGATCAGGTGGCATGCTTGTACCCTGCTTCTCCTGCTGTACACCCCCGTGAAGAACTTTCTTGATGCTCTCTGTTAGTAACCGGGCACATCCCCTCCGGGAGCTTGCCATGACTCATTGCCGCAGCCCCACTGCTCGGCTCTGCCTGTTTCATGACAGCTTCAGATGTCTTGGGTGAGAAGAGTCCTCCAGGAGACTTGGGCGGATCACTTCCCTCCAGAGGCCCTGTATGTGGCTGTGGATGGGGGCTCCTGAGTCTTTCAGCCTCTTCTCCGCAGGGCCAGCCCTGCCCTGGCTCTCGGGACCCACCCTCTCTGGGCTGCTCACAACCTTTAACCTTTAGAGGACTCTTCTTTCTCCTGTATGATTCTCTCCCTTTCTACTGTTCTAGGAACTTCCATGTCAGGAAATATGCCCAAATGGGCCTCTGGCCCACACTCCAGCTACTGCTCCATTCATTTGCTCTTTTATGCCACCTTTGTCAGCAGAGCTGTCAGGACACACTGTCTGTTTTGTTGCCTGTCCTCTGAAGCCGCCTTGGACTTACATGTTTTGAGGGGCATGTTAGAGGACTTGGCCAGAAATGTGCTACCAGTCTCTGGGCACTTGCTTCATAGCGGGGGGTTGGGATGTGCCTCTGACTTCTTGTCTTATTCCTCTGGAGTAAAGCTCACAACTCTTCCCAAACTTTTGGAAGCAGTCATCAGCAGCCACAATTTGTTAATTCCATTTGTTTCCCAAATCTCACCCTCTCCAGGAAGCCAGCCTGCACCCCACCGGCCCCTGCTCCCATCCCCCTTCACTCTGCTCTCTTTTCCCGTGGTGCGTTATCACTCACGTAGTATGATGTATTTGCTACATTGATTATTGTCTGCTTCCCCCTGCTAGAATGTCAGCTCTACAGAAGTAGGGATTTGTCTCTCTCTCTCTTTTTTTTTTTTTTTTTAACTGTTCTGAGGCTTCTAGATGAGTGCCTGGTACCTAGGAAGCACTTAATAAATATTTGTGGAATGAGTGAAAGGAAGGCAAAAATCAATTAATACAGGGTATTAAGGAGGCTTTTGACTCACAAAAGGGAATCTGAGCATCTCAGAATAGCCCTCTTCCCACTCACCCTGCCCTACCACCTGTCTGTCACAGAGATAGCACCACCATTCTCCCCCCTGTACAAACCATGCTCTGTTCTTGTTTATCCTTGACCAGTATGTCCAGTTGAATCTGTCTCTAAAATACCTGGAATGTATTGCTTCTCTCTTTTTCTCCCTACTGCCACCACCTTAGTTCAGGCCATCTTTAGCTCTCCCCTGGTCCACGGCAAAAGCCTCCGGACCAACCTCCCCATGTTCCTCTTGCCTCCTTAGTCCCTTCTCTGTGGGGCAGCCAAGTGAGTGGTCACTTAGGGTTTTGGCTCACTGCTGTACAGTGACGCAAACAGAATAGAAGTTTATTTCTGCCTCAGTTAACAGTTCAGAGGTGCAGGGTCTAGAGCTATCACAGTAGCTGTACATAAGCTTATCCAAGGGACTGGGTTACTTCCATGTGGTTCTTCCACCAGCTTCTAGGGATGTTGTCCTCTGCTGCGTGGTCAAAGTTGGGCTCACCACCACCATGTCCAAAATTCAGTTGGGGTAAAAAGGAAGTAGAAAGCAATTTTCTTTTTTTAAAGGACAATGCCCAGAATTATGGTCATTGCTTTCTATCACATTCCATTGGCTGGAACTTAGTCTCATGACCAGACCTTGTCGTAGGGGATCTGGAAAATGTAGTCTTCCCAGGTGGCCGCCTGACCAGCAATAACTCCGGGGGTTCTATTATTAAAAGGAGGAAGGGGAGAGTGGACTCTGGAGGTTACACAGCAGTCTCAGCCACATGTAGAGCGGATCACACATATCATGCCCCTACTTGAAACCCTTGGTGGGTTTCCACTGTACGTGGAGCAAAAGTGAAACTCCTTACCATGCATATCCAGCCCTGCGCAGTCTGGCCTCTGCCGTTCTCACCAAGCCCTTTCCTGTTTTACCTTACCTCTCTTCATCCGGCCAGTACTTCTTATCCGTCAATTCTCTGCGCAGGTATCTCCCAGAGAGGTTGCCCATGTCATCTCCCAGCCATTGTGGCTTCTGTCATTGTGCCGATTTTGTTTGTTTTCTTGTTGTTTTATGCAGTGACCCCACTGGAATGTCAGCTCCATAAAAAAGGGACCACATTTGTTTTGTTCACTGATATGTCCCATCTCTGCTACAGTGTTGGGTGCAGATGCATTGAAGTCTTATTTGATTCATATTGATACTTGTGCTTTTTTCTTTCCCTTCTAGGACACGAGAGACTTCCTAAACAGGTAAAAGAGTCTCCTCTCCATGGCGTACCTCATCCCCCTTGTTTATGTTCCCCCGCTTCTGACCAGGTGCATTTGAATTCATGGGGAGTGGTATGGTGCCAGAGGTACTCACATCCCATGGTTCATCCTGATGCCTTTCTGAGGAGCAGGACACATCATTGAGAACTGGAGACTTGCTCTCCTCCTTATGAGTTCTCTGTGTAGCCCCAGCTCCTTGGCCCACTGGCCTTATTTGAGGTGGGACAGAGCAGAGAGGTTAGAAACATGGCTTAGTAGACAGAGCGCCCTGGATGTGGAGTCTACTGATGTTCTGAAGCCCTGGTTCAGCTGGTGTCTTTGGGCCACTGTTTTTCTGTCACTTGTTTGGGGATAATCATACCTTTCCTCTCCCCTTCATAATTGCCATGAGGATTGAGAGATAAGTATGAAGGAAAGTAAGAAGAGCTGAGTAACAGCTTGTTATGTATGTCATCTTCTTAGGTATCCACGGAAGAAGTTCTGGGTTGGGAAACCCATTGCTCGAGTGGTTAAAAAAAAGACCGGAGAATTCTCAGATAAACTCCTCTCTCTGCAACGAGGCCTGAGGGAATTCCAGGGTAAGGGTTGGGGAGCGCACAAAGGGTGGGAGTCAGAGCAGGGCTACCTCGTAGAAAGAGCGCACCCAGCTCCTTTCCATCACCTTGTCGATCCTCACTCTTCTGAGGGCCTCTTGTCTTAGACATGGATCCCTATCAGGAAATTGATACTGCCCGAGCAAGAAATGGGCTCATAAATTTTCGGGACTTGAGTCATTGCTGTCCTTTTTTCTCCCCAGGGAAGCTGCTGAGAGACTTGGAATATAAGACAGGTGAGTGTCTAGAGGGTGTTTCCCAGATGTACATCAAATATAGAAAACTCCGCCTGCAGAGATTCTGACTGCTCACTTTTCCCCCAGGTAGCCCCTTTTGCAACAGGAAGAATTTCCCAGCTGCACAATAGAAGCCCCCCTCCCTCTTTGCACTTTCTAATCAGCCTACTCTTTAGTCTGCAGTAGAGGCCTCTGCTTGCTAGTCTGATCCTTCTCTGCCCTGTGTTTGCTTTTCTTTTTCCTATCCTCACAGGTCCTACCACCAGTCCTTTTCCTGTGGCCGAGCTTTCTCTCATCTTCCTGGCTGCATGGCTCCTATATTCAGAGCAAACAGCAGGGGCAACCTAAGACCAGAGGCCATATCCACCACAGGCCCCACTATTGTGCCCCCTCTCAGCCCTGCAGTTAGGTTGTACACTGCATACCAACCACCAAGGAGCGCCATCCTCATAGACCAAGATGTGAATGGTGCCCCTTGGATTGTGAAGACTGGTGGTCTCCTCCTGGCTCACTTTCACACTTGCTTTCGTGAGAACCATTGAGGAGGTCGGCCTGTCTGGGAGCAAACGAGGCCCTGAGAGCTTCATCTAGTTCACAGGATAAAATCCCATAGCAGAACTGAGTTAGCAGTGGTTAAACCTTAGGTGGTTGTAGCTTCTTTATTAATGTCTGAGCTGTCTGTGAATACCGTCAAATTTTACCTATCAGGTTATTCTAATTATAGAGAATCCTATGAGGATGATGGTGAGGATTATCCCACTCTGTCAGTACCTGTTCAGGGTTTCTTGAACCATCTTACAGAGCAGGCTGGTAGTTTTGAAACTGAAATTGAACAGTTTACAGAGACCCTGAATGCTTGTGTTACAACAGATGATGCTTTGCAAGAACTTGTGGAACTCAGAGGCCACATCTGTCCCAAATTTCTTTTCTTTTTTTTTTTTTGATACGGAGTCTCGCTGTCGCCCAGGCTGGAGTGCAGTGGCGCAATCTCGGCTCACTGCAGGCTCCGCCTCCTGGGGTTCACGCCATTCTCCTGCCTCAGCCTCCCGAGTAGCTAGGACTACAGGCGCCCGCCACCTCGCCCGGCTAATTTTTTGTATTTTTAGTAGAGACGGGGTTTCACCGTGTTAGCCAGGATGGTCTCGATCTCCTGACCTCGTGATCCACCCGCCTCGGCCTCCCAAAGTGCTGGGATTACAGGCGTGAGCCACCGCGCCCGGCCTTTTTTTTTTTTTTTTTTTTGAGATGGAGTCTTGCTTTGTCTTCCAGGCTGGAGTGTAGTGGTGTGATCTCAGCTCACTGCGAGCCCCGCCTCCCAGGTTCACGCCATTCTCCTGCCTCAGCCTCCTAAGTAGCTGGGACTACAGGTGCCCACCACCATGCCCGGCTAATTTTTGTATTTTTAGTAGAGATGGGGTTTCACCATGTTAGCCAGGATGGTCTCGATCTCCTGACCTTGTGATCCACCCGCCTCGGCCTTCCAAAGTGCTGGGATTATAGGCGTGAGCCACCGTGCCCAGCCCCAAATTTCTCTTACATGGGAGCTCACCTGTGTAATTACCTGACATCATCTGACAGTTAGCACAGAGAGTAGCACCTTCCGCCAATTTCTACTTCAAAGATATCGGACTGAATATGACATTAAAGATCAAGCTGCAAAAGGGGATGAAGTTACTCCAAAACAATTTCATGCATTTGTACCCTTTCTGGGAGAGCTTTATCATAACCTGGAGATCAGAGGAACAAATGGACAGGTTACAAGGGCAGATATTCTTCAGGTTGGTCTTCAGGAGTTGCCGAATGCCCGAATGCCCTCTTTTCTAATCCCATGGATGACAGCTTAATTTGTGCAATAAAATTGCTGAAGTTGACAGGGTCAGTTTTGGAAGATGCTTGGAAGGAAAAGGAAGGACTGATATGGAAGAAATTATTCAGGAAATTGAAAATGTTGTTATAGATGCAAGCTGTGGCAGAGACATGAAACAGATGCTCTTGAAGCTTGTAGAACTCCAGTGCAGTAATTGGGGTAGAGTCCATGCAACTTCATCATACAGAAATACAACAGCCAAAAAAGATCCCAATTACTATGTGAATGAACCAACATTTTATAGTGGTCATTCACATAGTTATTGTGTTTCATAGTGTTCCTTTCACTGCAGCTGATCCGGATTACCAAGAAGCATATCAAGAGTTACTTGAAAAAGAGGACTTTTTTTCTGGATTATGAAGAAAATGGAACAGATTTTTCAGGGACTGGTGATCCACACTTGGATGATATTAATGATGAGTTGGACCCAGAGATCCAGAGATAGAGGAAGCTTATGAAAAGTTTTGTTTGGAATCAGAGCGTAAGCGAAAACAGTCAAGTTAAATTTCAGTATATCATGTTTATAAAGCAGTTTAGTTATGGTGATTTAGCAGAATACAAAGCCAGAAAATGTGTCACACTTATACCAAATTAAGGATGTTGAGTTATATTACTAATGTATGCAACTTTAATTTTGTTTAACGCTATCTGCCAAAATAAATTTTATTCCCTCTGACTTAAAAAACAAAACAAAACAGTGATGCTGTTTTTTTTTTTTTTTCCCTTGTCCCCACAGTGAGCGTCACCCTGGACCCACAGTCGGCCAGTGGGTACCTGCAGCTGTCAGAGGACTGGAAGTGCGTGACCTACACCAGCCTGTACAAGAGTGCCTACCTGCACCCCCAGCAGTTTGACTGTGAGCCTGGGGTGCTGGGCAGCAAGGGCTTCACCTGGGGCAAGGTCTACTGGGAAGTGGAAGTGGAGAGGGAGGGCTGGTCTGAGGATGAAGAAGAGGGGGATGAGGAGGAAGAGGGAGAAGAGGAGGAGGAGGAAGAGGAGGCCGGCTATGGGGATGGATATGACGACTGGGAAACGGACGAAGATGAGGAATCGTTGGGCGATGAAGAGGAAGAAGAGGAGGAGGAAGAGGAGGAAGTTCTGGAAAGCTGCATGGTGGGGGTGGCTAGAGACTCTGTGAAGAGGAAGGGAGACCTCTCCCTGCGGCCAGAGGATGGCGTGTGGGCGCTGCGCCTCTCCTCCTCCGGCATCTGGGCCAACACCAGCCCCGAGGCTGAGCTTTTCCCAGCACTGCGGCCCCGGAGAGTGGGCATCGCCCTGGATTATGAAGGGGGCACCGTGACTTTCACCAACGCAGAGTCACAGGAACTCATCTACACCTTCACTGCCACCTTCACCCGGCGCCTGGTCCCCTTCCTGTGGCTCAAGTGGCCAGGAACACGCCTCCTGCTAAGACCCTGAGCCCTGACATCTGCCCCCAGCCCCAACCCTCAGATGCTTCACTTCTTTGGAATTCCAGGACTCTCAATGGGGGGACGGGATGCCTGGCCTAAGCACCTGGAGCAGGGGACCCCATATCCACTGGTAGCCACCTCCCCATTGCTGTGGCCCCCTGAAATCTCACTCAGTGCTGTTGCTCCATCTACTGCCCTAATGGGGCTCTTTTCCCACCTCCTGCTGGTTTCCCGAGGGAACTTCTGACCCTGGAGTCCATGAGGGCTCCTTTCCTTTTTGACCACGACCTTGGCCCCAGCTCTGCACTCTCTGGAATAAGGGCCCGATGCAGCATTTTCTTGCCCAGTGTGGCAAGACCTCAGAAAAACCAGTCAATTACGCCTAAGATCATTTTGCTGTCCTTAAACCCCCCAGGTTCCTTCTTGCACAAATCCACTCTGCTGCCCACCTTCCCTGGCATTTTAAACAGACCTACCCCACCCCAACTCAGAGTTAAGCATACATGGCAATGCTGAAAATAAACAAAATCCACTGAGGCTTCCCAGGCCATTTAAAGCCTGGAGTACCAGCGCATATCATCTCATGGGGTCCAGAGTGGAGTCCAGGCTTCTCTGAAACCAGGGCTGAGCATATTTCCATAGCCAAGGAGGTGGGACTCCCTGGAGCTATCTGTGGTCTTAGGGAAGGATCCAGACATACACGGCTTTGGGGTACAAGCTGTGATCACTGATCAATAAATTATCTCTAGATTGGTCCTTGTGAGGGGAGTTTTAAGAATCCAGAACATCTTGCTCTTGATCAGCACATCCAAAAACACCAAGACAAACATCCAGTGGAGCAGAACCTCTCCTGCCTCGGGAGTTCTGACCAGGTTCCCCAGCAGGGTGTTAAGCCTCTGTCTCTGGCCCTACCAGCATCCAGGTTCCACTTTCCTAGGAGAGAGTGGAGATGGGAAGACAGGGAAAGGAAGGCAGCAGGAGGCCACAAGCCCACCAGGTCTTCATGTCAAGAGAGGGAGTAACATGTCTTCTCATTGCCCACGGACCCAACCTCTGTCCAGGTGCCCCTCATCATCACAGTTTAACACAAGCTCCCCTGCTCCAGCCAAATTGATCTCCCAGTCTTGTCCTTACCCATTCCAAGTGCTCTGCCAGCCCCTGTTCATCCAAGTTTTAAGTCCTCCACCCTGTTCTAAGAGACTGTTCCAACGGCTCTGGGCCTCAGTGGTCACTTGACCACCATTGTCTCAGAGCTGCCCACTTTGTGTGTGTCACATGCTGCCTGAGTCACACGTACATCTTATTTCTGCCTCTAGTTTTGTAAGCTCCTGGAGGGCGGATAACATCTTATACTACTCTTGTATTCTCATGGCACCTAGTGCAGTGCTGGGCACAGAGTAGGTGCTCAATAAAGACTTGTTGAATGAACAGCCTGGAGATCTGTATTTGTAGGTCTATATCTATATTATATCTCAAATGCCACCAGACCTCAGTCTGGCTACAGAGAAATTCCACTGATAGCAGTAGCCGAAGGTTTTCCTTCTCTGCCTTCTGTAACAGTGTAACTTTGCTTTCTGTTCTCTGCACACATGCTGTCATTTCTGGAAGTCCCTCAAAAAGAGCCTACTGCGGAACACAGACGAGTTGTTGCGTGGCTCCACCTTTTTATTCCTCCTGCAGTGGTGCCCTTGAGCTGAGGTCCAGCGTTTTGGAGCAAGTGATGACTCTCCCTGAGAAGGGAGACCTCCAGTATAGCACACCCAAAAATTCTTCCTTGGAAAATAAGCACTGCCTCAGAGGAAATAGAATGTGCAGAGATTCAGCCTTGCATCCTAACACAGTCAACTGTTTTTCTTGTCCTTTCTGATTTTTTTTTTTTTTTTTTTTTTTTTTTTGAGATGGAGTCTCACTCTGTCTCCCAGTTTGGAGTGCAGTGGCGCCATCTCGGCTCACTGCAAGCTCTGCCTCCCGGGTTCACGCCATTCTCCTGCCTCAGCCTCCCGAGTAGCTGGAACTACAGGCGCCCGCCATCACGCCCGGCTAATTTTTTTGTATTTTTAGTAGAGACGGGGTTTCACCATGTTAGCCAGGTTGGTCTTGATCTCCTGACCTCATGATCCGCCCACCTCGGCCTCCCAAAGTGCTGGGATTACAGGCGTGAGCCATCGCGCCCAGCAGTCCTTTCTGATTTTTTAAATTGCCATCTTAAAGATGGAAAAGGGAGGATTATACGAAACTACCTGTAAAATTACGCTAGTGGCAAAGAGCATATTTCCTCTCTGTTCTCTAAGTTGTGGGCTCATGTAAATTTTCCCTTTTTATTTTTTATATTCATAGTTTTTCATTTTGTATAACTCTACTTGCACATATGGTAAACTTTCTACAGTGCTTCTTACAAATAGGAACATTTCCCTGCCCCATACCTCCCTCCAAAGACCCAGTTCATACCTTTCAGCAAACTATTTTGTGTTTGCCTTGCTGGGATTACAGGTGTGAGTCACCACAACTGGCTGAATTTTTATTATTTTAGAGACATGGTCTTACTCTGTCACCTAGGCTCTAGTGATGGTGCACTCGTAGCTTACTGTGGCCTTGAGCTCTGGGGCTCAAGTGATCCTCCCACCTCAGCCTCCCAAAGTACTGGAATTACAGGCGTGAGCCACTGTGCCCTGCCTGAATTATTTCTTGTTGACTTTTCCTCCTATTTTCTGTATTCTCTCAAATCTGTTATCTCCAGGCTTCATATGTCTCCTGAATTCATTTATTAAGTACCCGTGATGTGCCAGGATGTTTCTAGGTTACAACAGTGATAAGGTTAACAAAGTTCTGCACTCTTGGAGGTTATATTCCAGCAAATGGTGACAGGCAGTATGTTAAAATTGAAAAAAAAAAAGTAATTAGCACTATGCAAGGAAGTGAAATAAGTCTGTGATAGATAGTGACCTAGTATCTATTTTATAATGTGTGATCAGAAGGGAGTTCCCTGAAAAGATGGCATGAGAGCTGAAATCAGAATGGTGAGAGGGAAGGTCTAAGATCACATCAGCTAGAGGGAACAGCAAAGTCCTAAAGCAGGGACAAACTGGGTACAGAAAGAGTGCATTTAGAGTATGGTTATGGGAGAACAGAAAGAGCCATAGATTTTCTCTTTTTTTTTTAATAGAGACGGAGTCTCGCTCTGTTGCCCAGGCTGGAGTGCGGTGGCATGATCTTGGCTTACTGGCAACCTCCGCTGCCCAGGTTCAAGCGATTCTCTTGCCTCAGCCTCCCAAGTACCTGGGACTACAGGCGCACACCACCATGTCTGGCTAATTTTTTTGTGTTTTTAGAAGAGACGGGGTTTTGCCATATTGACCAGGCTGTTCATGAACTCCTGACCTCAGGTGATCCACCTATTTTGGCCTCTCAAAGTGCTGGGATTACAGGCATGAGCTTTAAAAAGAAACTTTTTAAAAACTGATGCATCCCAAGTACCCAGAATAATGCCTATCACATAAGTCTTGACCTGAGGCCGGACTGATGTGGCGCTGCTGTTGCTGCTGCTACTGCTGCCACCTGGCAAAAAAGAGATGGGAGACTGAGCACTCCCATGCACCCACCTGGACAAATCCCATCGCCACTGCTACAGGCTGCTGTGAGACCAGGGCTTGAGAAGACTGCACTCCCTGTGGCTACTTGTCCTTGCTCTTCCACCTGAGAGGGGTCCTGCCCTCCCGGTGGCAAACCTGTAGTCATTATTCTGAGAGCTCAACCACCCGGGTCTGCATTCTGCCCCTGGGCCTGGCTGGGGCTGCTGCCGCCAAGCCAAGGCTAAGTTGAGGAGGGAGAGTAGAGACGGGGCACTTCCGCACGTTCCTAGGACAAATCCCACCACTGCTGCTATGGGCTGGTGTGGACAAAGGTGTGAGCAGATGACACTTCCCACAGCTACTTGCTCATGATGCGCCAGCTGAGAGTGGCCCTGCCTTCCCTGGTTGCAGGACTACAGTGCAGCCACCACAGCCAGCCCACACCTGAGCATTCTGCCAGTGGTCTGGGGACCTCTCCATCTCTTGTCTATCACAGCTAGCACCTGAATGCATTGCAGGGGGCCCTGAGGACAGGTCTGCTGGCCTGATCCCATCCCCCCAGTACACAAGCACATCATCCAGGGGCCCGGAAATTGCCCAGCCCAATCTACCACCACTGGCATCTGAATCATTCCTGTCAGGATCTGAGGTCAGTCCAACTCAATCTACCAATACCACCACAACTGACACCCACCCACACATGCTACCAGTGGGTCAGGGTACTAGCCTGCCCAACTTGTCACAGCCACCACCAACACCAGCACAGACTGCTTGGGTCCTAGCAGGTTGTTCCACCACTGCTACTGCCATTACCCATTTCTCACCAGCTGCCCAGGAGCCTGAGAAGTTGCCCACATGTCTGGCCCACTGCTGCCACTGCTAGCATCTGAGCAAGTCACCTGAAGGCCCAATAATTGGCCCTCCAAGACCCACTAACGCTGTTGTCAGTTTAAGCCACTCTGTGGGCCCTAGCACAGGCTCATTCAACCCACCGCTGCCATCACTAGGGCCTGAAGACTGGCCCACCTAGCATCTTAGTTCCCAGCCAAACTTCACCACAGCCTTCACTAATAAGTGCACCTTAAGTCAATGAGGAAGTCACAGATACCACTGATGTTGTATACTGCCAAATAAATCATACAGGGATCACACTACTATAGGCACTCAAAATCAAAGCCAAAGCACCCTACTCAACAAACAACACGTAAAATCTTCAGGAAAAAAATCCTCCCCTATGAAAGCAATTTCAAAAATGGAAGAAGTGACTGTTGCAACTAAATGTGCAGATATCAATGTAAGGACACAGAAAACTAAAGAACAAAGAAATATGACACCAACAAAGGAACACAATACCTCTCCAGCTACAGTTATCAATCAGAAAGAAATTCATGAAATTCTAGATAAAGAATTCAAAGTACTGATTTTAAAGAAACTCAGTAGGCTGGGCACGGTGGCTCATGCCTGTAATCCCAGCACTTTGGAAGGCCGAGGTGGGTGGATCACGACGTCAGGAGATTGAGACCATCCTGGCTAACACGGTGAAACCCCGTCTCTACTAAAAATAGAAAAAATTAGCTGGGTGTGGTGGTGGGTGCCTGTAGTCCCAGCTAGTCGGGAGGCTGAGGCAGGAGAATGGCGTGAACCCGGGAGGCGGAGCTTGCAGTGAGCTGAGATCGTGCCACTGCACTGCAGCCTGGGTGACAGAGTGAGACTCCATCTCAAAAAAAAAAAAAAAAAGAAACTCAGTGATATATAAGAGAATTCTGAAAAACAATAGAAAGAAAAAAGATAATAATGTAGGATATGAATGAGAAATTTAATAAAGCAATAGATTGTTTTTTAAAAGAAAAATAGAAAATCTGGATATGAAGAATTTATTAAAGGAAATACAAAATACCTTTGAAAGCTTCAACAATAGAACTAGATTGGGGAGAAGAAAGAGTCTCAGAGCTTGAAGGCAGCTCTTTTGAAATAACCTAGTCAGACAAAAATAAAGAAAAAATAATTTTAAAAAATTCAATTTACTTTGCCTAGATAAAAAAATTAGCAAAGCCTTCATGATATTTGGGACAGCATAAAGCAACTGAATATATGAATTGTTAGTATCCCCGAGGATGATGAAGAAATGAAAGGATTAGAAAATCTATATAATGAAATAATAGATGAAAACTTTCCAAGCCTAGCAAGGGATTTGGACATGCAGGTATAGGAGGCTCAATGTTTCCCAGGCAGATGCAATGCAAAGGGTCTTCTCCATAGCACATTATAATTAGACTGTCTAAAGTCAAAATAAAGAGCAAATTCTAAAAATAGCAACAGAATAGTGCCTAGTCACCTAAAAGGAAAACTCATCAGACTAACAAACAGTGGATTTCTCTGCAGAAACCCTACAGGCCAAAAGATAATGGGATGGTATATACAAAATGATGAAAGAAAATAACTGTCAGCCAAGAATATTAGATCCAGCCAAATTAAAGTATAAAGGAAAAAGAAATAAAGTCTTTCCCAGACAGGCAAATACTGAGGGAATTTGTTACCACTAGATCAGTCCTATGAGAAATGCTCAAGGGAGTCCTAAACCTGGAAGTGATAGGATGATATTTACCATCATAAAAACACACAAAAGTATAAAACTCGCTAGTAAAGCAATCACACAAAGGAAGAAGAGAAAGGACTCAAATGGTGCCTCTAAAGAAATCCACCAAACCACAATGACAAACAAGAAGAAAGGAACAAAGAATATATAAAACAATCAGAAAACAACAATATGACAGGAACAAAGTCTCATATATCAATAATAATCTTGAATGTAAATGGAATAAATTCTTTACTTGAAAGATGTAGAATGGCTGGATTTATTTAAAAAGATAATACACCTGTAAGCTGTTTCAAGAAACTCAGTAAAGTTTCTTACCAGTAAAGACAAATATAGACAAAGTAAAGGGATGGAAAAAGATATTCCATACAAATGGAGACAAAAAGTGAGAAGGAGTAGCTATACTTATATCAGATACAACAGACTTTAAGTCAAGAATTGTGAAAAAAAAAAGCCAAAAATGTCATTATATAATGATAAAGGGATCAATCCAGCAAGAAGATTCAACAGTTCTAAATATATATACACCAAACACCAGAGCACCCACATTCATAAAGCAAATATTACTAGCTCTAAAGAGAGAGACAGATTGGAATACAATAATAGTGGGGGACTTTAGCACCTCATGCTCAGCATTAGACAGATTATCTAGACAGAAAATCAACAGAGAAACATTGGATTTAAACTGGACTTTAGACCAAATGAACCTAACATTTACAGAACATTCTATTCAACAACTGCAGAATATATATTCTTTTCATCAGAACATGGAACCTTCTCCAACATAGACCATATATTAGGCGACAAAACAAGTCTCAATAAATTTTTAAAAATTAAAATCATATCAAATATTTTCTCAGACTGCAATAGAATAAAATGAGAAATCAATACCAAGAGGAACTTTGGAAACTATACAAATACATAGATATTAAACCACATGGTCCTGAATGACCATTGGGTCAATGAACAAATTAAGATAGAAGGCCAGGCATGGTGGCTCACACCTGTAATCCCAGCACTTTGGGTGGCTGAGGCGGATGGATCACCTGAGGTCAGAAGTTCGAGACCAGCCTGGCCAGCATGGTGAAACCCTGTCTCTGTGAAAAATACAAAAAAATTAGCTGGGCGTGGTGGCAGGCGCCTGTAATCTCAGCTACTTGGGAGGCTGAGGCAGGAGAACCGCTTGAACCCGGGAGGTGGAGGTTGCAGTTAGCCGAGTTTACACCATTGAACTCCAGCCTGGGAGACAAGAGCAAAACTCCATCTGGAAAAAAAAAAAAAAAAGAAATTAAGATGAAAATTAAAAAAAAAATCTAAAAACAAATGAAAATGGAAACATAAAACCTGTGGGATTCAGCAAAGGCAGTGCTAAGAGGAAAGTTTACAGCAATAAATGCTTACATTAAAAAAGTAGAAAGATTACAAATTAACAATCCAACAATGTACCTGAAGGAGCTAGAAAAGCAAGAACAAACCAAACCCCAAATTAGCAGAAGAAAAGAAATAATAAAGATCAGAGCAGAAAGTAGAGACTTAAAGAAATACAAAGGATCAATGAGATGAAAAATTGGTTCTTTGAAAAGATATACAGAATTGATAAGCTACTAGCTAGACTAACCAAGAAGACAGAAGACCCATATGAACAAAATCAGAATTGAAAAAGGAGACATTACAACTGACATCACAGAAATATTAAAGATCATCAGAGACTGTTATAAACAACTAGATAAAATTGGAAAATCTAGAGGAAGTGGATAAATTCCTGGAAACACACAACCTACCAAGACTGAATCAGAAAAAAATAGAAAACCTGAGCAGACCAATAATTAATAGCAAGATTGAATCAGTAATTAAAAGTCTCTCAAAGAAGAAAAGCCTAGGACTGGAGGGATTAACAGCTGAATTCTACTAAACATACAAAGAACTAATACCGATCCTCCTGAAACTGTTCAAACAAGTCAAAGAGGAAGGAATTTTCCCTAACTAATTATATGAGGTCAGCATCACCCTAATACTAAAACCAGACAGATACACCACAACACCAACAAAAAGAAAATTATAGGTCAATATCCCTAATGAACATAGATACAAAATCATAGATAGATACAAAAATCCTCAACAAAATACTAGCAAACCAAACCCAACAGCACATCGAAAAATACTACATCAAAATCAAGTGGGATTTATAGTAGAGATGCAAAGATGTTTCAATATGAATAAATAAGCATGATACATATTATCAATAGAATGTAGAACAAAAACCATATGATCATCTTAATAGATGCAGAAAAAGCATTTGATAAAATTTAACATTCTTTTAAGATAAAAACATACAACACACTAGGCATAGACGGAACAAACCTCAAATTCAAATGAGCTGTATGTAACAAACCCATAGCTAACATGCTGAATGAGGAAAAGTGGAAAGCTTTTCCTCTAAGCACTGGAACAAGGCAAGGATGTCTACTCTCAATACTCTTATTCAACATAGTACTAAAATCCTAGCTATAAGGATCAGGCAAAAGAAAGAAACACAATGTGTGATTTCACCAAAAAACTCTTAGATATGATAAATGAGTTCAGTACAGTTTCAGGCTACAAAATTAATATGCAAAAGTCAGTAGCATTTCTTTACATCAGTAATGATTTAGCCAACAAAGAAATCAAGAAGGCAATCTCATTTAGAAATTTTTGCTACCAAAAACAATTTAGGATTGAATTTAACCAAGGAGGCAAAAGATCTTTACAAGGAAAACTACAAAATACTGTTGAGAGAAATTCAAAACAACACAAATGGAAAAACACCTTATGCTCATGGATTAGAAGGAATATCAACATCATTAAAATGACCATATTGTTCAAAGTAATCTGCAGATTAAATGCAATCCCTAACAAAATATCAACATCATTCTTCACAGAATTTGAAAAAAAAATCCTAAAATTCATATGGACCAACCCCCCCCTCCCAAAAAAAGCCCAAATAGCCAAAGAAATCCTGAGCACAAAGAACAAATACTCTTGGATTAAAGGTAGTTTAGTAATTAATAGATTAGTAATACTTGCTACTAGAGACATTTTTGTCAGGTTTGTCAAATATCAGATGGTTATAGGTGAAAATCAAATCAAAACTACAATGAGATACTATCTCGCACCAGTCAAAATGGCTATTACTAAAAAGTCAAAAAGCAACAGATGCTGGCAAGGTTGTGAAGAAAAACGAATGCTTTTAACACTGTTGGTGTGAGTGTAAATTAGTTCAACCATTGTGGAAGACTGTGTGGCAATTCCTCAAAAACCTAGAGGCAGAAATACCATTCAACCCAGCAATCTCATTTACTGGGTATATACCCAAAGGAATAGAAATCGTTCTCTATAAAGATACATGCATGTGTATGTTCATTGCAGTAGTATTCACAATAGCAAAGATATGAAATCAAACTAAATGCCCATCAATGATAGACTGGATAAAGAAAATGTGGTACACATATACCATGGAATATTTTACAGCCATAAAAAGGAATGAGATCATGTCCTTTGCAGGGACATGAATGGAACTGGAGGTTGTTATCCTTAGCAAACTAAAGTAGGAACAGAAAACCAAATACAGCATGTTTTCACTTATAAGTAGGATCTAAATAATGAGAACATATGGACACATGGCAGGAGGCGGGGGGAACAACACACACTGGGCCCTGTTGGAGGGCGGGGGTGGGAGGAGGGAGAGGATCAGGAAGAATAGCTAATGGGTGCTGGGCTTAATTCCTGGGTGATAGGATGATCTGTGTAGCTGACTACTATGGCACACATTTACCTATGTAACAAACCTGCACATCTTGCACATGTACCCCTGAACTTAAAAGTTGAAAAATTTTTTAAAAAAGAAAAACATTAGGGAGTAGCTGCCTTTGGGAGTGAGGAGAATGGGAATAAAAATTGGGGAGAGAGGAGAAAATACAAATAAAACCAGAAGACCTTGCATGGACTGATGATGATAGTGTTCCAAGAACTGAGAGGTATGACTGAGTCAACACTCTACACTGGAAGTCTGAAAGAAGGAAAGAACTGAAAATGAAAAAGAAAATAAAGGCCATGAGTAGAGCTAGGAAGCTTCCTTATAGACAGGAGAATGGGCCCCACATCCAGAGCAAAGTAAGCCGACCAGAGAGACAATGCATCTGCCTAGGCTCTAGTTCCCATTACAACCAGCTCACTGTCATCACGGTTCCTGGGCTCCAGAGAGATTCCCTTATAGGTCCCACCTTGGTCCTTACAATAACCCCTCTGGTTCTCCGAGGCACATCAGTGTGACTGCTCCTCACATAGTCCAGCAGCCCAGCAATTATTTTGTGGGATCTCTTTGCCTCCTGCCCAGTAGTGGACAGAACTCAGCACTTGGAATTCAGGAACACCTACAAAAAGCATTAGGGGCAAGGCAGGTTGTGCAGAGGATCCTGTAGGGGAGATAGAGGACAGTTTTACATCACAAACACAGGAACACAGCCATCCTGTGGCTCCAGCTGGACCACCAAATGAATAATTTTCCTCTGCTTTTCCTTCAGGCAGCTCTCAGTCCTCACCCTGAGGTCTTAGCCACTCCCAAATTTCTTTTGGCTTCTAAATTTCTCTTTCCTTTCTTATGCAGAACAATTTATTAATATAGGCACAAAGCCTCCAAATGTGCATATCCACACTTTTAAATTATCTGGACCACTCTAAAATTAGAAGTACCAGAGACTTGGAAATACAGTGTGCTTATGGTTTATCGGTTCTTTTTTTTTTTTTCTGTTTCATATGAAACCAAAAATGCCCTGTCTAAAACATGAATTCAATGGGTAGCAAATGAAACATAGCCCCATTGGGATGTGTCTGTTTTAGAAGTCTGAGTGTGGTGGAAATGTGACTGCACTGAGCTCCAGGACAGGTAGATTCTACTTCAGCAGGTCACAAGGACCAGCTGTGAAAATTGTTAGACAAGTTCATTTAACTGTGTGTCAGTTTTCTCAACCACCACATGAGAAAAACAAAATAGGTCTTATGTATTTCACAGGCTTGTTGTAAGGTTCAAATGAAGATATAATTAAAACAAATTTGACCAATGGTACAATTAGCATGTGTTGCACATAGTTTTTCTTTTGGAGGGGTTGCAAAGAATACTTATGGCATAATCTAATTTATGTAAAAAAAAAGAGAAAGCAATATATATTTGTATTCAAAACTTGCAGGATATACAAAAAATTGATATCAATGTTTAACTATGGGGAGTGGCAAGGGGAAGTGTTGAGTGGGTGGGGAAAGAGGTTTTTATTTATACACTTTGAAAATGTTTGAATTTTCTTAACCATGAGCATATACAACTTTTATAATAAGCATTGGGCAATACTACTACTACTACCACTACTACTACTACTAGGTTGGACTACCAAGCCACTTGGGTCAGATAAGGATGGCTCTGCTCACCACACTGGGGGGCAGAAGAAACCCCACATTGTCTGGCTTCTTTTATATCAAGAACCTCTATTTCCCCAACAGTCAAGTTAGGGTTAATTATTCACATCACATTGATTCATGTTACAATTTTTAAATAAAATTCACATATGGTCCAAACTCTTTGAGTGCTTTTAAAACATCTGACCCATGCTTTAGGAGCAGGGCTTACGCAATAATGAAGATGTTCTTTGTTTTATTTGTTTGTTTGTTTCTTGGAGACAGAGTCTCACTCTGTCACCCAGGCTGGAGTGCAGTGGTACAATCTCAGCTCACTGCAACCTCTGCCTCCTGGGTTCAAGTGATTCCCCTGCTTCAGCCTCCCAAGTAGCTGGTCTGCCACCACACCCAGCTAATTTTTGTATATTTAGTGGAGATGGGGTTTCACCATGTTGGCCAGGCTCAAACTCCTGACCTCAGGTGACCCACCTGCCTCGGCCTACCACCGTGAGCCACCGCGCCTAGCCTGTTTTTTGTTTTTTGTTTTTTTGAGATGGAGTCTCACTCCGTCACTCGGGCTGGAATGCAGTGGCTTGATCTTAGCTCACTGCAACCTCCGCCTCCCTGGTTTAAGTGATTCTCCTGCCTCAGCCTCCTGAGCAGCTGGGATTACAGGCGCCTGCCATCTCGCCCAGCTAATTTTTATATTTTTAATAGAGACAGGGTTTCACCATGCTGTCCAGGCTGGTCTTAAACTCCTGACCTTAAGTGATCTACCTGCCTCAGCCTCCCAAAGTGTTGGGATTACTGGCGCAAGCCACCGTGCCGACCCTAAAGTGTTCTTGTACACAGGGTATTGTCTTACACTACAGGGAACCTGGATTGGAGTTGAAGGCAGATTTTTTTCAGAGGTTGGGGTGGAAGGGTGAGAATGTGAGTGTTCAACTTGAGAGGAGAAAGGGTAGGGGTGGAAGGAAACATCACTTGTATAGGGATTAATACTTTGCTTTTTAAAGTTATTTTAACCTGTGGTCTGTTTCTGTGTCCAAATAATAACTGCAGTAATAACAAATATTTGAGAGGTTAGTTAGACCTGAGCAAAAGCCTCGTTTTATTAAACAATGGGGCCTGGTGATTGTCCCACTGTCTGTCATCAGGGATATCCTGACTAAAAGAAGGGACAGGATTGTGTCTTGGTCACAGAGGGATCATCACCCTTCCTCTCTGCATCTACTCCCTCGAGCCATCTCGGCCCTAAATTGCCAACACAGGCAGATCCCATTGGATTTAAGCCTTTCTCCAGTCCCATCAGCGCTAATTGGACACATGGAATCCAGAGGTCTGTGAGTCACACTTTCTTAGGACATTCTCTACAAGTCCAGAGAAATGACCAGAAGGGAAGGGAAAGGAAGGGGCCCTGGGGTCCACCCAGGGCTGATAAAAAGGCCCTAAGCCCTACAAAGGTGGAGGCATCTTCAGGTGTGTGTCAAAGTACGAAGTTAACTGTACAAATTAGTGCAAGTCCAGCAAAACCCTGATTTTTCCCAAGATAATTATTTTGAAACAGTTTAAACATTTTATTTTAGATGTCTTTTTCTTTTTTTTCCCCGAAAGCCCGCTGGCTCCTAGGTTGGCTGTTGCCCTAGGCACAGCCGAAGCCGTCTGTGGTTCTGCACTCTGAGGTGCAGAGAAGGCCAGAGCGTCACAGGGAGGCTCAGGACGTCAGGGAGCTGAGGGCCTAAGATAAATAAAGTAAAAACAACCGCTGTTCGAGACTCAAGTCCCCTGTTCTCTCGCCTCACGCGGGCACAGGGAGCCCCCGGGCCGCACACTGGCCAGGGGCGGAGCTGGATCCCGGAGAGCCGCCGTCTCCGCTTCGCCGCCCTTCGCGCGCCCCACTTCAGCCTTTCAGCGTAAGGCAGGAACCTTTTTTCCAGACGGCAAAGAAAGGGAAGACTTTGCCGGAGAAAGAGGCAGTGAAGGTGAAGATGGGCTCCTGGGTCTGGGCGTTGTGGAGGGTCACCTGCCCCGCCTCGTAGTCCAGGGCGACTCTCACGCCGCGCGGGATCTCGCTCAGCGGCAGGTCGGTGCCCGGGGAGGTGCTGGCCCAGCACTGCTGGTGCGAGATGATCACGGCCCAGACGCCGTCCTCGGCGCTGAGTCCCATCTCTCCCTTCCTCCTCACCCCCTCCCCGGCCACCCCCACCGTGCAGCCGCCGCCGTCGCCCAGCTGCAGGTCAACCTGCCAGCGGTGGCGCCCGGAGGAGAAGCCCGGGAAGCCCAGAACCGCCGGGAGGCCGTCGAAGCGCAGGGGGCTGTCTGGCAGGTTCTTCTTCTGCCGGGTGTACCTCACTGACTTCCTGTCTTCCGAGAGAACCAGGCTCCGGCTGGCGGTCTGAGGGTCCAGAGTGATGACCCCTAGAGGGAGGAGCGCGCAGACATCAACAGCGGGCGGCAACCACAGATGTTCCTAGAGCAGGCAACGCACGTGGGAGGCAGAAGGAGTACTGGACTTGGGCAGCCTGCCATTGGGCCACTTCTCTGAACCGCCCTTCTACCTAATCAGCAAGTGGTGCTGTTAAGGATTTGCTTCTCAAAGTGCAGCGGGAGGGACCAGCAGCATCCCCACCACCTGGGTGTTTGTTAGAAATGCAGAATATTGGGCCCCATCCCACCCTACTAAATCAGAATCTGCATTTTAACAGGATCCCTAGGAGACGTTTCTGCATATTAAGTTTGAAAAGCACTTACCTATACCAGAGTGAGTGAGGTGATGCTTATGGAAACAACTTCTAAATTAAGCACCAATTTAAAAATAAATGTGATTTTTAAAAAATTGCACATTTTTTGTTCAAATCAGTAGAGAGCCCAGCACAATGCTCTCAAAAAACTAGGGCTTGATAAGTATTTTTCAACGAGTAATATCTACACAAGTAGATGACATTAATTGAGCACTTACTATGAGTCAGGTAATATACTAAGCTCTTTGCATGTATTAATTTATTTTGTCCTCACAGCTACTTATGGGACAGGTACAGTACTTTTATTTTCATTTTACTGATGAAGAAAATATTGTGGGACAGAGGCTTAATAACTTGCCCAGTGTCTCAGAGCTAGCAAGAACTGGAATCGAGAACTCAAGCAATCAAGCTCCAGAATTCATGCATTTTATTGCTCTGTTTGCTGCCATGGATTGAATGGATGAATGGAAGAATGACTCCCCAAATCCCAAGCTGTTTACCTGAATCTATTTCCAGATGATGCGCCAAGTTTTCTGAGGGAAGCAGAAATAGAAAGAGAGATCTGTGACTTATTACTTCTTATAGGCACCCCCAGGGGCAAGGTGACTTGAGTACAATGTGAAAATGAGGACAGAAGACTCGGCTTCTGCTGTGGTCTAGTGGAGGAGAAGGGTCCTCACCCTCCTGGACTCTCAGTCCTGCACCTGTCCTTAGGGAGTGGAGGAGATGCTCTGGGAATAGTGCCCCTGAATAAATTGAGATCACTAAGGGAAGGCTCTGGGGAGGGAAGATGTCTCGAGCCAGGTTTCAAGGGCAGAGAAGGATGGAGATGGGTGGAAGACAGGAGGGCAGCTAATGGGACTGGGGAAAACTGTGGCGCCTTCCCCTTTACCTGAGAACATCCTCATCATCTCTGGGAGGGTGAGTATTTTCCTGTGGAAATCACGGATCTTCTTGACAAGGTCAGGAGAAATGGCCTCAGGACTCACAAAAGTCTTCATCTCACACCTGCAGACAGGTTTGGTAACCAGTTAGGTCCAAATTCCAAAAACAAATGTTCGGGTGAGACCACGTGAGGCTAAAATCAGACTAAAGAATGATCTTGGCGTCTGTGGTGAATAATGAAATTGAGTATCATTTCTTTACTTTTGCTGGAAATGTGTAGTTACTAAAATAGTAGGCATTTCAGTTAAACCTAAGAGGAACTAAGGATAATCACTTCTCAAGAATTGGAGGTAAGCCCCTTTAGGAGAATGTTTGGTTCTGTAGGGGCTGAGGGACAGAGATCATTACCCCTTTTGGTCTCTAGAGGGCAACAGGGTACCATTTGAAAACAGCCTTAAACTACCCTTGTGTATGCTGCTATTTGTAAAGGAAAAGAGGCTAGAAGGGAAGAAAAAAAAAGGATCAACGAAAATATATATTGCAATGAAAAAAACTCCTGATTCTGGTCCCAGCTCAGTCCTCATTAGACACTTGCTGCATTACCTTGAAGACTCTTCACCCCCTGGGTCTCAGTTTCTTCCTCAGACTGGAAGACCTCCAAGCCCTTCTAGATCTAAACCTCTAATGCTCTTTGAAAAGCATGTTTGGAGACACTTCCTGATTCATGGACCCTGGGTTTATCCTCCCTGCACGGGAATAGGCACAAAGCACGTGACAATTGTTCCCTAGTCACTACACCTCTCTTCATCTCAGTGCAGACTGCTAATGCTTATAGCAGACAGGGAAGGAAAGGGCCATGCATTTACAATGCCACTGGCTCCTGGTGGCTGTCCTTTTACAGTAGCATTAGAAAATTCTGAAGGAAACCAGAGATGTGTGTAAAAAATGAATGAATGAAAGAACAGGCTGGTATTCCTGGTTTCCATGCTTATCATAGTCTACAGAAAGTATTCCCCCTTTAAATTACATTTTAAATGGTGTTAGATACTGACTCAAGTACTAATAATTTCATAGATTAAATAAATGTTCCTGGATCAACCTAAAAACATGATTATTATTTATAACTTCACTTCTAGGGGAAAAAATGTGTCCCCAATACCAACCAATCAATTTAAAAATGAACCTTTAGAACGCAAATCTTTAGTGAGTTTGGACTGTTTGTGCACAGTTGAATGAGACAGTGTGTCTGCCAGAGTGCCTTTGCTTTCCTGGCAAAGTGGGTGGCAGTAAGTGCCCCTGCCCCTTCCCATTCAGTCTTGATGTTGAGTAAAAGGAGGCAGGACCGGGGAGTGGGCCCTACCTGCTCTGGTTGACTCTGACATCCTGCAAAAGAAAGACAAGAACATACATTTAGTTTCCATAAGTCCTTCCTGTCAGGGATTCTGTACATCACTTTTCCCTTAAAATATGAACTCAAAACTCTCCTTCTGCAGAGAGTTGTCCTGTTTAATTACCTACTCATTAGATTGTTCTTTTACATCATGTTTTCTTACTAATTTGGGTTTCTGTAGTCAGTTCATTTGTGCTGGTTTCCCTGTTTCAGCCTTATCGTGGGGGTGGGTTGTGTCTGCAATGATTAGGAGGTGGTAGAGAGCAGGGGCCTGCCTTCAGTTATCAGCTGGACCTGATGTGAGCCAGGATCACATATTCATAACCATAGCAGACACCAGTTATTGAGTTCTTTCTGTATATCAGGAATCATGCCAAGCATTTTTTATGGATTGTTTCTTATAATTTTGCAATAACTTTATGAGGGAGGTGCTATTGCTGTCCCCATGTTTAGAGAGGCTAAGAGACTCACTCAAGTCACACAATTGGAAGAGCCAACATTCAAATCCAAGACTGTCTGACCCTAAACCCCTTAACATGACCACAGTGTATGACTTGGGCAAGTCTCCAGCCCCTCTGGATCTGCACCCCGTTAACCTCTCTCCACTTCCCTTTCCTGCCTCTCTCCAGCCCAAAGCATGGTGCCCACCCCCTTCCCCGTGGAGTCCCTCTCTTATCCTACAAAGTGGTGAAGTGTCTCTCACTTGTAGAAGCTCACTTGCTGGCTGCTGACACTTCTCCTCCAGCTCCTTGACCTGGGCTCCAAGCCGGGTGACTTCCTCAGAGACCTTTGTGATATATTCATCCCTCTCCTTCCAAATCTGCTGCTCCAGCTCCCTCAGCCTGGCCAGCAGGAGACATCGCTGCTGCTCCAGCTCCTGCTGCAGCCTCTCAAAAGCTGTTTCCACCTGATGCTTCTTGCTTTCGATCTGAGTCTTCAAGGGATAAAAGGCAGACATGGTTAGGAAGGGGCTCAGAGATAGCTTCCAGGATGATCATCTATATACTTATTATTGATTAACAGGGATAGGGAGCAACTGGTCCAAGACTCATTCCATTTACTAATATGCCTAGAAGTAGTTAGGTCTCAGGATGAACTTACCAATGATGAGGGCTGTGCTACTGTCTTAGCTAGATACTCTAATAATAATGCTACATTATGCTCTCAGAATGATGTTGAACTTTTCAAAAATATTTCCACAACTACAATACCATCATAACCCTACTATGCCTTCTTAGAGTTAGGTGGGGAAGACTGTAATAATTTCTTAGAGGCAAAAGGAAGTTGTGATTGGAGTCAACACAACTTAGTGGGAGAGTGTGTAATTTTGGTTTTAGCCGTGGAAATCACCAACTACAGGGCATACGTTGATGAGAGCTGAGGGATGGTGGATAGGTTGCTTTGTCCCCACACTCTCTCCTTGGTCAAGGTACCAGAAATCCTCACACTGTGATTCCTCCATAACTTTATAGCATGAAAAGAGAGGCGTGAGGGATCCAGATGTAGCCACACCATCAGCCTACTCTCCTCAAGGTCAGCCTGTAGTCAGGACTAGAATCCCGACACTAACATATGTTTTTGACCCCAAGCTTCCCATCTGAAGGTGGTGTGTTCAGGCAAACAGACTAGGATGGAAAGAACAATGAATTAAGGGTCAAGAAATCCAGGTTCCTCATGAACTTCAGCTTTGCTATGTGGCCTTGGGAGCATTGCTTTTCTGGTCCTAAGTTTTCTGCTCTGTAAAATGTGATATACAAGATGGATCTTGGATTGCAAGACATCAGAACCACTTCTAGTGCTCATGGTCTGAGATCCCAAATGCCTTTGTGCAGCCACAGGAAGGTGAACGAGAACAGTTTGTCAGTTCTTTTCAGCCAGGAAACAGATACCAGCCAACGGGTTTCCCCAGAGTCTCTTAAGAAAACCTTCAAAGGAAAAGGTAGCCAGTGACGTGGCCTGTACCAGCAGCACTTGAAGCTTCTGGTCTTCTTGACACTTTACATCCTCAATCTCATCTCTCTCCGTGCTCAGAGCTTCCAGTCGACTCCTGAGACGATCCTGTGGGGAGAAGAATGGGTGGATAGAGGTGACTGAATTAATAATTCAACTCACAATTATTAACTATCACATCCTGGGCACACTGTTGAGTGCTGAGGGGTTCAAAGGTGGAAAAGGCCCAGTCCTTGCCCTAAAGAGACCACCATCTCAGGAAGAAGTCAATGTCAAGTGATTAAAATACAGATAGATAAATGCAATAGTCCAGGGGTACACACAGTGAGATGGGAACACAGAGGTCAGCTCTGCCTGTAGGCCTAAGGGAAGGTTTGGAAAGCAGAAAACATTTACAATGTGCCTTGAAAGATAAATTTCCAGTTGAATAGAGAGGGAGAGAAAAGGACTTAGTGCCCACAGATGTGAAGGACCTCTTCAAGGAGAACTACAAACCACTGCTCAAGGAAATCAGAGAGAACACAGACAAATGGAAAAACATTCCATGCTCATGGATAGGAAGAATCAATATTGTGAAAATGGCCATACTGCCCAAAGTAATTTATAGATTCAGTGTTATCCCTATCAAGCTACCATTGACTTTCTTCACAGAATTAGAAAAAACTACTTTATATTTCATATGGAACCAATAAAGAGCCCACATAGCCAATACAATCTTAAGCAAAAAGAACGAAGCTGGAGGCATCATGCTACCTGACTTCAAACTATACTACAAGGCTGTAGTATATGATATCAAATATGTCTGGTATCAAAACAGACATATAGACAAATGGAACAGAAGAAGGGCCTCAGAAATAACACCACACATCTACAACCATCTGATCTTTGACAAACCTGACAAAAACAAGCAATGGGGAAAGGATTCCCTATTTAATAAATGGTGTTGGGAAAACTGGCTAGCCATATGCAGAAAACTGAAACTGGACCCCTTCCTTACACCTGAAATAAAAATTAACTCAAGATGGATTAAAGACTTAAACGTAAGACCTAAAACCATAAAAACCCTAGAAGAAAACCTAGGCAATACCATTCAGGACATAGGCATGGGCAAAGACTTCATGACTAGAACACCAAAAGCAATGGCAACAAAAGCCTAAATTGACAAATGGTATCTAATTAAATGAAAGAGCTTCTGCACAGCAAAAGAAACTATCATCAGAGTGAACAGGCAACCTACAGAATGGGAGAAACATTTTGCAATCTATCCATCTGACAAAGGGCTAATATCCAAAATCTACAAAGAACTTAAACAAATTTACAAGAAAAAAACAAACAGCCCCATCAAAAAGTAGGTGAAGGATATGAACAGACACTTCTCAAAAGAAGACATTTATGTGGCCAACAAACCTATGAAAAGAAGCTCATCATCACTGGTCATTAGAGAAATGCAAATCAAAACCACAATGAGATACCATCTCACACCAGTTAGAATGGTGATCATTAAAAAGTCAGGAAATAACAGATGCTGGAGATGATGTGGAGAAATAAGAATGCTTTTACAATGTTGGTGGGAGTGTAAATTAGTTCAACCGTTGTGGAAGACAGTGTGGCAACTCCTCAAGAATCTAGAATGAGAAATACCATTTGACCTGGCAATCCCATTACTGGGTATATACCCAGAGGATTATAAATTATCCTACTGTAAAGACACATGCACACATATGTTTATTGCAGCACTGTTCACAATAGCAAAGACTTGGAACCAACCCAAATGTCCATCAATGATAGACTGGATAAAGAAAATATGGCACATATATGCCATGGAATACTATGCAGGCATAAAAAAGATGTGTTCATGTCCTTTGCAGGGATATGGATGAAGCTGGAAACCATCATTCTCAGCAAACTAACACAGGAACAGAAAACCAAACACCACATGTTCTTACTCATAAGTGGGAGGTGAACAATGAGAACACATGGACACAGGGAGGGGAACATCACACATCGGGGCCTGTCAGGGCTTGGGGGACTAGGGGAGGGATAGCATTAGGAGAAATACCTAATGTAGATGATGGATTGATGGGTGCAGCAAACCACCATGGCACGTATATACCTATGTAACAAACCTGCACGTTCTGCATATGTATCCCAGAACATGTATAATAAAAAAAAAAAGAAAAGGACTTAGTGCCCCTGAATTGTATACTTAAAAACAGAGAGAGAGGTGGGAGGAAGGGAGAAGAGTATTCTAGGAGGAAGAGACTATGTGCAAAAAGTATTGGAAGCAGGAATGAATAAGACAACTCAGGAAAAAACAGCAAGTGCAGCTCAGTCTGGCCAGACACGTGGTGCCTTGAGGAGGGAGGCTGAGCGATGAGGCCGGACAGGGAGGAAGGATCCCGACTGCAAAGGGCCTTGAATGTCTTGCTAAAGACCTTGGACTTTCTTTGGGCACTAGGTATACATGGGAGGATTTTGTGCAGATGAGTGACTTTGTGTTTTAGGAGGATCTGTCTCCCAGCAGATTGGAAGGTGACTGGAAAGGGTGAGAATGGAGACAGGAAATGCCATGGAGACTGCAAAGTCTGCGCAAGAGATAGGGAGAACCTGGCTGTGAGGATAAGGCAGAATTAAAGATTTGGGAGATGTTTCTAAGGTAACCACTTCCAGACCTGGTGACTGGATGACAAGAGAGAGATCTGAGAGGCTGACAGGAAAGTGCCCCAAGGCCAGATGGGGAATTCTCACAATTCTGGACTACTGCCACCCTCCCTTTCTCAAGAAGAAGAGCAGTGCTAGCAGGTTCCCCTTCCCAGCTCCTCCCTCCCCTCTGCGCCCTGGCAGTCAGGGCCCTATAAACCCCATTTCCAGTCTGGATCCTGGGAGAACAAGTTTACCCTGCCCATAATCTGCAGAAGATCCCACTCGGCATTGGAGCTTTCTTTCCATAGTGAGTGAAGCCAAGGCTACAGTTCTTTGCACTCCACCTCTGTGGGGTCCTCTGAGAGCTGGAGCTGAAGTTCCCCCCAGACCAGGAACTACCACACATCCAAGTGGAGCCCTATCTGCCTTCAGTCTGGGAATGCCTCGAAAGTCCCTGTAACCTTAGGGTTCCCTGATGTGGAAGCCTTTCATCCAGATCCCCGCCCGATTTCCTCCCCTCATAACAGGACATCATCCTGCCCCAAACAGGCCCTAGGTAAAGCTACACTTCTTACCCGGTAGGGCTGAATGGCCTCGTCCAGGAACCCCACGGTGTGCGCCTGGTGCGTGGGACCCTCCCTGCAGAACACACAGAGGAACTCGGCATCGTTCTCGCAGAAGAAGTAGATCTTCTCGCCGTGCTCCTCGCAGTAAGTTTCTCCCAGCGGGCCCAGGGGCACAGGGGCCATGGGAGTCTCTGCCTGCTCCTCCTCTTGGCAGAGCGGGCAGAGCAGGATCTTGCCCGAGGATTGGGCCCCCATCTGGGAGAGCGCGGGGAGGCAGAGCCGGCAGAAGGTGTGTCCACAGGGAATGGTCACCGCATCCTCCAGCGGCCCCGCACAGAGGGTACAGGCAGGCAGCTCATGGACCACCTTCAGGGACGGGGTTGCGGGCATCACGGTGCCTTCCCCAGCCCGTCCACTCCGGTCTCCTCAGCCCACGCGAGTTCCCTTTCCCTGAAATCGAGTCACACTTACATGAATCGCAGAGGGAAACGGCTGCAAGGCTGAGAGACAGAGAGAGAGAAAGAGAGAGAGAGGCAAGAATGCCAGCACAGGGAAGCCACCTGGCTCCGCCTCTTGTGTTCCCTAGAACCCTGGCCACCACCTATCAGCGGAGTGGGTCCAAATTCCAGGGCGTCTCGAATTACCCAGAATTTCCCAGTGGCGGCCAAGTAAGCCAGTTCTTTACTCCTGGCTCCTTCTGGTCCCTAGGGTGGAGAACAGAGCACACCATGAGGTCACAGGGGGATGGGTTTCCTGGAATCTGTAGACCACAGTGGCTGGGGAGAACTGGGGAGCAGAAGCTTCCTGTCAGATTGAGCAGGTGGGAGCCATAAACTTCTGGCTCTGAGGCGTGCCCACAGCATCAAAGTCCAGGCTGGAGTGAGAGGTGTGGACTTCGGGAGATTCTGCCGGAAGTGTGTGGGCGGGACGCTGTTTCGACACTGCAGGTAGGGTGTAAGGATTGCTCATCGGGTCCCCTCTTCTGCTCTCCTTTCCTCCCTCACCACATCTGCCCATGGTGGCCCCTCCTACGGTCCCAAATCCCCCACCACCTGGCACAACAGTCCCCTTTGGGGTTCGGGTAACACTGGACTATTTTATTTATTTATTTATTTATTTATTTATTTATTTATTTATTTTTACTGTAGCGGGGAGAAGGCAAGAAACCATAATGCAAATGATTTATGTTGATACACATTAGAAAACGATTAGTCAGATAATCAGTTTCAACCACATTTATCTAGGGTTTAGTATTTTTATATTACTACATTCAATTTTAATAACCCTCTAGGCAAACATTATTACCTTCATTTTACAGAGAAAGAAATGTAAACTGACTTTCCAAATGTAAAGTGACTTTCCAAAGGTCACAAAGCTAGAAAGTATCACGTTAAGGACGATCCCAGTCTCCTGGCTTAAAGCCCTACGCTCCTCCCACACCTCATGCCAAGACCAAGATCTGCAGCCACGGTCCTTCACCCATGCACACATCTGTGGATAAAACCAGGCCTTCCCCCATTCTCCCACTGGGTGATCAGCCTAGCCCCTTGTGGTTGCTCCCTTTTTACTCTAATCACTTTATTACCTCCCCTTCCCATCCAATCTCTGCTCTTCCTGCCACGAGTGCAGCCCAGGAACTAGTTTGTCCAATACAGGAGCCACCAGCCACATGTGTCTACTGAGCACTGAAATGTGGCCGGTCTGAATGGCGGCATGCTGTATATGTAAAATACATACCGGATTTCTTTTTTTTCTTTTTCTTTTTCTCTTTTTTCTTTTCTTTTTTTTTTTTTTTGAAATGGAGTCTCGCTCTGTCTCCCGGGATGGAGTGCAGTAGCGCGATCTTGGCTCACTGCAAGCTCCTCCTCCCGGGTTCACACCATTCTCCTGCCTCAGCCTCCCGAGTAGCTGGGACTACAGGCGCCGGCCAGCACGCCAGGCTAATTTTTTTGTATTTTTAGTAGAGACGGGGTTTCACCGTGTTAACCAGGATGGTCTAGATTTCCTGACCTCGTGATCCGCCCGCCTAGGCCTCCCAAAGTGCTGGGATTACAGGCGTGAGCCACCGCGCCCGGCCAACACACCGGATTTCAAAGGCTTTTCACAAATTTAAAAATGTAAAATATCTTATTAATGACTTTTTATATGGATCACATATTGAAATGATAATATTTTGGAAATATAGGACTAAATAAAATAACATCATTAAAATTACTTTCACCTGTTTAGACTATTTTTATATGGCCACTAGGAAATTTTAAATTGCATATGTGGCTCACTTTGCGTTTATGTTGAATAGCATTGCTCGGAAGACAGATCTGACAGCAAATTATTTATGGTCACTCACCTTCTTACTTGTGTGCCTAGGGCAAGCTGAATAACCTGGCTGGGCCTCAGCTTTCTCATTTATGAAATGGAGATCCTAATAGCACTGATGTTGCAGAGCAGACACAGAAATAAGATCATACTTTTAAATTGCTTGTATCAATGTAAGTTGTACCGTCATTGTAAATAAATTCTGGCCAAATTGCTTGTATCAATGTAAGTTGTACCGTCATTGTAAATAAATTCTGGCCGTTAGTAGTTTTCTTTCTCCTCCCCATCATAGGGAATATTCCAGCCTCTTTTGAGGCCTGCAGCAGGCCAGTTGAGGCATCACCATTGAAGTTGCTGGTGCAGTGTACACCCTGGCACAAGGACCTTATCTGAGCCCCCACACTCTCCTGCTTGCTGATGGGCAAGCCCTGGGCTGGCTGATACCTCCAATCTCTTTGGAGACAGCTGGCCATATGGCAGAAAGGCTGGAATGGCATCTCCACTCTGTGACCCAGTCTCCCACTTGCCCCCAAAAGAATATTTCTTCTGACAGTGGACAGCTGACATATCACCACTTTCCTTCTACTGTGAGTGTCTCTGGATGGGCAGAAAGGAATGGCCAGCCCCTGGTTATGGTCATCTAAGGTCACCTCTGAAATGCTGTGAGCCCCTCTTCCTTCCTCTCCTCTGCTATTTCCCATCTCTGCTGTTGGCAGGAGAATAGAACCCTGGCTGCCAGAGATGCAAGTGTGTGACGATATGGGTGCTGGTGCATATTTAGTATGTGCCTGTGTCCAGCCATGTGCATGTGTGGGTGTGTGAGTGTGTGACCCAGCCCTTCCCCCGTGGCCAAGCAGAGAGAGTGGCCTTGAGGAAGCCATAGCAGCAGGACCAGCATGGCCTCTGCTGCCTCTGTGACCAGCCTGGCAGATGAAGTCAACTGCCCCATCTGTCAGGGTACCCTGAGGGAGCCGGTCACTATCGACTGCGGCCACAACTTCTGCCGGGCCTGCCTTACCCGCTACTGTGAGATACCAGGCCCAGACCTGGAGGAGTCCCCTACTTGCCCACTCTGCAAAGAACCCTTCCGTCCTGGGAGCTTCCGGCCCAACTGGCAGCTGGCTAACGTGGTGGAGAACATTGAGCGCCTCCAGCTGGTGTCCACACTGGGTTTGGGAGAGGAGGATGTCTGCCAAGAGCACGGAGAGAAGATCTACTTCTTCTGTGAGGATGATGAGATGCAGTTGTGCGTGGTGTGCCGGGAGGCTGGGGAGCACGCTACCCACACCATGCGCTTCCTGGAGGATGCAGCGGCTCCCTATAGGGTAGGAAAGGGGAACTGGGGGATCCCAGGGTGGACTGGACTGGACTAAGAGAAACAGCAGAGTTGTGGATTATTTAGGCCACCCGGAGGCCAAATTCTTTCTCCTTACTTACATGATCACCCAGGCAATAGACCCAGGCATGGAAAATTGTGTTTATGTTTTATGTTTTTTTGAGTGTGTTCTGTGTTCACTTGTGGCCAACAGATAACGGGAGTTCAACAAGTACTTGTTGAATGAATGAGTGACCAAACATGAGTGTGTGTGTCTGTGCCATGGATCAGGTGTGTCTGAAGTTTGCATTTGAGGGAATGATTGTACAAACAGTGTGTATATGTGTTAATGTTTGCATGTTTAGAAGTGTGTCTGGTGTGTTTGGATGGGAGTCTGAGTATGTATATATTTGAGTGTGTAAGTGTAACTGAGAGCTCCTGTTTGTGAATAAATTCGTGTTTACATATATTCAGGCTGGGTAAATGTATGTGGCATGCCATTTTATCTGTCATTAAATGAATGTGTGCTGGTTTTAGTTGTTTATGCATTGTGCTTATGAATTATGTTTTAGTACAAGTCTGTGTGTGGATGTCTTAATTAGTTAATTAGCAGTTGATAGTGAGAATTCTAATATATCTTTGAACACACATATTTATCGTGTGTGTACCTGTTCCTAACTCTATTCTGGAGCAAATAATTTTGAAAACAATTTATCAATTATTTTTACATTACCCAAGTTTCTTCTCCCCTCTGGAGTCATACACAGATAATTGATTTCAGTAACAAGGGAGGGTTGTTATTTACACATGTTCCTTTGGGATGAGTCGGAAACTCAGAATGATTTCAGTGCGGGGCATATCAAACTCAGTACAGACCCCAGATACCACTTACCTGAAGCAAAACACAATAGAATGTTAAACCTGAAGAAAGACTCAAGTGGGAAAACCAAGTCACAGCCTCTAATGGCACAGGATAAAGGGGGAAAGTCCTGATCCAAAGTCTTAGAGACAAATCAAGAGGAAGAAGACCCAAAGGGAGTAAGCTGTCAGGGTGGTGAAGGCTCGGGGATTGTCAGCTAAGGAAGGGACTCCTCTCCTGGGGCCATTTCATTCCTGGAGGCAGAGGGTCAGATGACCAGACAAACCTGAACAAATCATTTTCCATCTTGAGTATTTTATGTTCCTTCTCCCCAGGAACAAATCCATAAGTGTCTTAAATGTCTAAGAAAAGAGAGAGAGGAGATTCAAGAAATCCAGTCAAGAGAAAATAAAAGGATGCAAGTCCTCCTGGTAAGTCATCACCCCTTCCCCAGGTTCCTCCCCTTCCTCAGGGTCCAGTGTCTTCCTGAAACTGAGGCAACATAGATTATAGGGCTTTGAAGTTATTATGAGTTTAAATCCTGACTCTGACACTAACTCTATGACCTCAAGCAACTCTCCAACTTCAGTTTACTTATCTGTAAAATGGAGAGTAAAAATCATCATGACCTCATTGAATTACTGTAAGCATTAAATGAGATTGTGACTGTAAAGTAGCTCAGGGCTGTGCACATAATGTGCTTTTCATACAAGACAGGAGGTAGGGTGTCCCCACCACCTCCTCCTACACCTCCTGTAAGCCCTACCCCTTTTAGAAGCTGCAGCAGATGGTGCTGAGACAACACTGTGAGTCTTGCTTCTCGAAATGGGATGACAAGTGAAAAGGAAACCATGACACAGTTCCAGATCTACCTGGGGACAGGGGAGGAAGAGGAGCAGAGGGAGAAGGAGGAAGCAAACTTTCTCTTGGGCTTGCCTCCTGCCCCCTCAGACTCAGGTGTCCACCAAGAGACAACAGGTGATTTCTGAGTTCGCACACCTGAGGAAGTTTCTAGAGGAACAGCAGAGCATCCTCTTAGCACAATTGGAGAGCCAGGATGGGGACATCTTGAGGCAACGGGATGAATTTGATTTGCTGGTTGCTGGGGAGATCTGCCGGTTTAGTGCTCTTATTGAAGAACTGGAGGAGAAGAATGAGAGGCCAGCAAGGGAGCTCCTGACGGTGAGGCCTGAACCGGAACCCTGCCCCACCTGTGCTGTCCTGTGACTCTTGCATCTTTGTCTTGCCTAAGCCATGTCTCCCTGACTCACACATCTCTGTATCCCAGATGGGAGGTGGGTCAGAGGACCAGAAAGTCTCAATTCTAGTTCATGCTTTTCCAAGAGTTCCCTGGTCACTTTTTGCTCTCTGGTCTCCACCTCTCCGTCCCACCATCTGCCAAATAGGGAAGATACTTTCCTTAAATATTTCACAGGGCTTTTGTGAGGATCCAACAGTAAGATGGAAGTGAAAGTAGCACTTTGAAAAAGTATTAAGTAAGTTGCAAACCATTCTCTATAACCTAAATGTCACCAACCACCAGTCAGGAAGTTTGTCCTGGTCTATTTCACTTCCTCACACTGGAGGAGAGGTATTGGGGTCCCCACAAAGTATTGGAAAGGCAGCATGACTTAGAATGATGCTCTTAGGACTGAGAAACAGGAGACCTTGGTATGAGACTTACTTTGCCTCCAGTGAGCAGGGGAAGGTCACTTCACCATCTTTATCTAAAAAATAAAGGCTTTGGGCTCTGATCCACAGAGATGGGTGAGTCCTAATGCTCTGTGACTCTATGCATCTGGTATCCTTTTCCTGTCCAGGGCTAGAAATATATTTTGTCTTTTCCAGTCATAAGAAAAGTGGGAGGAGCCTGGGCAACATAACAAAACCCCATCTCTACAAAAAAAAAAAAAAAAAAAAAAGAAAATTAGCCAGGCATGGTGACAAACACCTGTAGTCCCAGCTACTCAAGATGCTGAGGTAGGAGGATCCCTTGAGCCCAGGAGGTTGAGTATGCAGTGAGCCATGATCACGCCACTGTATTCCAGCCTGGGCACCAGAGTGAGACCCTTTCTCAAACAAACAAACAAGCAAATAAAAAATAAATAAAATAAAAGTAGAAAAAGAAAGGAAAGAAAAATGGAAAGGAGAAGCTGGAAACTGAATTTCTGGTATCTCTTTCTCCTAGGACATCAGAAGCACTCTAATAAGGTAAGCAATATAGTTTCTCTCTTTTCTTTTTCCATATAAATATACATACATGTACTGCATGCCTAGTTATTGCCACACAGGTATATAACATTCTCACTTAAGGATACAAATTTACATATAAACCTCTATATACCCAAATGCCTTCTCAGGTATATCCATAGATGCCCAAAAATGGGCAGTGGGATTCATCCTAGAGGAAGTACGTCTGCCTGCAGGAACTAGCGCCATCATGCCCTATTAGAAGATGACCAGCTGAGTCTGGAGACATTATTAAGGATGATAATTCCCAGACCCAGCCATTTCTGTGCCCCTAGATGTGAAACCAGAAAGTGCCGGAAACCGGTGGCTGTGTCGCCAGAGCTGGGCCAGAGGATTCGGGACTTTCCCCAGCAGGCCCTCCCGCTGCAGAGGGAGATGAAGATGTTTCTGGGTAAGAGAACCCCAGGCCTCCACAGAGCGCAGGTGGCCATGAAGCCTGGGTTTAGGAGTGGCCTCCACGCTCCACTGCTGAAAGGTGTGACTTTGGCAAGCCTTATTCCTTCCTGTGCCTTGATTTCCTTATTTGCAGATTTTTATAAAATCTGCCTATTAGGATATTGTGACAATGAAGAAAGAGAATAAAGGTGAATATTTCTGGTGAAAAAGTTAAACTGATTTTAAAATAATTCAACAAATCTGATTAGTGGTCATTAAGCAATATGAAAGATAATGATTAACAATATATCATTCTTAATAAGTTAAAAAATCCCACAGCAACATTTGTAATATGTGATAAGTTTTTGATGATGAACATTGTTAATTAATAGCCAACAACAGTATTTATCTTGACCCTGTGGTATCTGGCTCGTCCCTCCTTCCTTCTCACTTTCTTTCTGTTAGTCTGGCTCAGAGTTAGACGGTCCTACGGGGACTGTGCTCCACTTCCTTTTCCGGAACAGGGAGTGGTGGTAGGGTGTGGGGGAGGGTTTGGATGAGAGTCAGGAATGGGACATGGCTCTCTGCCAACCACCTCCTCACTAACCATGACAGAATGAATGATGACACCAATTTTGAAATGACCCACCCACAGTTATGTCACCCTAGAAGGACTTTTCCCATAATTCCATTTCCTGCAAATACTTCCAGTGACCTGTCAGTGAAGGAAATTTCACTCTAATCAAAGGCTGACCTTTGACTCTCCCCAAAATTATTTCCAAGTGGAATAATAAATAAATGAACCCATTTCTCTATTCACTAAGCAGATATTTCTTGAGCATTTACTATGTCCTGGGCTCTGCGGGTACAGAGGTGAGCAAGGCAGTCATGGTCCCTGTTTGATCAGGGCTAGGGCAGTGGGGCTCCCACCAGCAGCAGCAGCTGCATTGCCCAGGAAATTGTTAGAAATACAGATGTTCAGCTCCACCCCAGAGCACCTGAATCTGAAACAGATGTGTTTTAACAAGAGCTCCAGATGATTCTGATGCAAGCTTGGAACCACTGGTCTAGAGGATTCCAGCTTACATTCTTCTTCTTGTCCCTTCCCTCTTCTTGGCCTCAGTTTTCTCATCATTAAGTGTCTGATGGTTTTGTAAGACTAATAAAATCTCATCCTGGTTTATTTTCTTTACAGAAAAACTATGCTTTGAGTTGGACTATGAGCCAGGTAAGGAGCCTATGTCAGGATGGGAGAGAATGAGAAGTCCTCGGAAAGGAGAGAAAATTTTGCAGGATTTGCACTATGACTATGTTATGACTATGACAATAGTCATAACAAACACCCATGGATACATATACACATCATATATATTATATATACACATATGTGTGTGTATATAATACATGTGTGTATATATAGGTTGTGTGTGTGTGTGTGTCACATTGTTTGTAAGGCTCTCAGGAGAAACATGAAGAAAGGACAAGCACATACACATACTACATTCGTGGTATGAAGCTCACATCCTGATCTGCGCATGTCGAGTAGATAGAAAGATTAATGCAGAATGGGATAAAGTCCATCTGGGAATGCTTTCTGGATAAAGGGGACTTTGATCTGGGTTTATAATCACCTCTTTAGAACGTAAGGAACCCCTGCTTCCTCTCAGATGTCATTTCACAGATGACAGAAGGAGGGCGGCCTGTGGGTGGGAAAAAAATGAACAGAATGGACCCCTTCAAGGCTGTCATTTCTTAATCAACCAGCCTAAGACCCTGGGAGTCACGGAGTTGTTGGAGGGGGTTCTCTAACCCACAGATGGACCTAAATTTATGGAAGCTTCTCAATTTATGAATACTAAAAGTAACAAAACGCAAGGCTCTGCAGCAGTTTTTGGTGGTAAAAAGTGGTCCTCAGACTCTGACAGTTTCAGAATTACTGAGGCAGAGTGAATAACCCAGGGGTGAGCCAGAGAGCCTGCCAGGAGGGAAGACTGTAAATGAGTCACCAGTGCCCTGGGAGGAAAACAGGGAGGAATCATGAAGTTTGGACTGAAGGGAGAAATGTCGCTGCACTGTGGGATAGAGATGGGAGGAGGGGAGAATGTGGTATATCAGCCCCAGGAGATCCAAGCTGGCACGCACAGCTTTGGAAACCAACCAACTTGCGGTGAGCAGAAGAGCTTTCCCGAGGACCACACTGAACTAAACGAGAGCTTTCACATCCTCTGAGGCAGGCTTTTCAGGCTTTACCTGTGTGCAAATCACCTGGGCATCTTGTTAGGATGCAGATTCTGAGAGCGTATATCTAACAAGTTCCCAGGTGGTTCCACACTGTTGGCCCACGTAGGCACTATACATGTTTTTGGTAATAATAACACTAACAGGAGGGGCCCAGGGGGAGTTTCTATGCCTTCCTTGGAGGTAATAGCATGTCTGCTGACATCTGTCCCTTTTGGTTATCCCCACAGCTCACATTTCTCTAGACCCTCAGACTTCCCACCCCAAGCTCCTCTTGTCCGAGGACCACCAGCGAGCTCAGTTCTCCTACAAATGGCAGAACTCACCAGACAACCCCCAGCGTTTTGACCGGGCCACCTGTGTTCTGGCCCACACTGGCATCACAGGGGGGAGACACACGTGGGTGGTGAGTATAGACCTGGCCCATGGGGGCAGCTGCACCGTGGGCGTGGTGAGCGAGGATGTGCAGCGGAAGGGGGAGCTTCGGCTGCGGCCAGAGGAGGGGGTGTGGGCTGTGAGGCTGGCTTGGGGCTTCGTCTCGGCTCTGGGCTCCTTCCCCACACGGCTGACCCTGAAGGAGCAGCCCCGGCAGGTGAGGGTGTCTCTTGACTATGAGGTGGGCTGGGTGACCTTCACCAACGCTGTCACCCGAGAGCCCATCTACACCTTCACTGCCTCCTTCACTAGGAAGGTCATTCCCTTCTTTGGGCTCTGGGGCCGAGGGTCCAGTTTCTCCCTGAGCTCCTGAGAAGGAGCAGTTACCTACTCTCCTCTAAGTACAGGACTCATATCAACCCAAGTACCATGTGGACTTGATCCCTGGCTGAATCACCTGGATGACTTGGAATAGAAATGACTGCTTTAGAAGATGGGATGGGGCCGGGTGGTAAGGGATAGAAGAGAGGACTCTCAATCTACTGATCAAGTCCTTTCCCCAATGCCCAGTGGATGGCCAGGGTACCTGGGGACTCAGGCTGCTGCCAGTTCTGCTCACCACCATCCGTGCTTGGCACAGAAGTAGCTGCATAGAAAGAGCACTGGATTTGAAGTCAGAAGACCTGGGTTCTTGAACCAGCCTGTCAACCAGTTGTATGACTTTAAACAAGGCATCTCACCTCTTTTCATCTTGTTTTCTTCCAATAATGTTAGAGTTCATGTAATCACATTCTCTAGAACCATTTAGTTTGTGTTAACTATGAACCAAGCAGTGTGGTGGCCACTGGTGACTTGAAAATGTAGAGAAAAAAAAAACCTGCTCTATATCTGAAAGAGCTCTTGGGAAGACAGAGAAACATAAAGAGGAAATTATAGCACAGTGTGGTGGGTGTTACGGGAAGTCCAACCCCAGCATTATGGGAGTTCAGGGGAAGGGGCATAGCCCAGCCTGGAAGGAGAGGATGAGTGGGGGATGGCTTTCTGAAAAGGGTAGTCTAAAGGATGCCTATAGTCAATAGGGAAAAGAGGGGAAGAAGCATCTTAAGAAGAGGAAACAGCAGAGAACTGGCTGGATGACCTGTGACTCTGGAGCACTGGGTTGTCTCCATTGTCCTTATGGGCAGATGTGTGCCATCCCCAGCCGACACCACTCACTGCCTCCTTCCTCCTGGTGTTGCCACTTCTGGGTGAGATTAAGGTGCAGGGCCTGGGGGCAGGAGGACATAAGGTATAGCCATAAATCATAACCCAGGGACCACACTCAACCCTAGGGAAATTGTCTTCCTGATCAGTTGATTACCATCTGAGGTCAAGAAATGAGATAGTGGGAGCAAATGGGTCACAAATAGCTCAGCTGTGGGCTCAGAAACTGCTAGGTAAAAGAATTCCAGAAGGAGGCCAGGGCATAAGTTGGATGACCTATGACCTTTAGTCTAAAGAATTGAGACTACCGTAATTGAGACTACTGTAGTGACATCTGAGAAATGGGATGGAAGAGTGACCATGTTTTATTTTCTTGTTCTTGTCACTATTGTATTTTATTTTGCATAATCATGCCCTTCACTGACAGTCTCCTTAACATCATCTGTTTACTCTGCTCAGATGTAAAATACAATGCTCTGTCATCTCCCTACTGGGTCTCCTGGGAGGAGGGGAGCCATCCAGGGTGCAAACTCAAAGGCAGAGGGCACAGCGTGCTTAGGCCCAAGCTTAGAATTCAATTGAGAAGTTCTGTTGTTCATCCTTACCTCAGCAGGTAGAAAAGAGGTGGAGATCAGAAGCCAGGGATTAAAGATTGAATTGCTTTCCCTGGGAGTGTGCAGTATCTCATTAAAATGTTGTATATTCAAAAAAATACAGACACACACAAGTGCCTATATAATGATAAAACATATGCAAAGCACCCAAACCTGTGATTCCAGAAAGGTAGATCCTATTTTTCTGTTTATTTTTATTGGCTTTAGCTGTGTCTTTTGAAAGGACTATTATCCTCTAAAATGTATGTGTATGAAGATCCTGGCTTGCAGCTCGGGAGCTTTACACACCTTGTGTCACTTTATCTTGGTAACGAGCCAAGATCATGCAACCAGTTCATCCATGTCTGACCCAAGAGCTCTTAACTGCTATGCTGCACTGCCTCATTCAGAGATAGATGCCTGCATGGGTCCTGGCGATTATTTTAATGCTGGCTACACCCCCACAGGTGACTTGGATTCAGAAATACAATTTATATTTCTTCTTTTTAAATTGTTTTATTTTATTTTTCTTTTAATAGTTATATGTCAGTGAGAACAATTTATATGTCTTACACTGAGAAATAAAACTGCTCATAAGTGAAAACACTCATGTTGGTCTGTCAGTACCTGCTTCTCCCCTAGGGTAATTTTACTTGAAGTTTACTTGCTTTCGGAGTATGGAGTCAGCACAGGGGAAGTGGATAGATCCTAAAACCTGGTAACTTCAAGATAAGGCAGCTTAATGAACCTCCTTGCTCTGCTGGCCGGAAGTGGGACTCTGGGTTCCCTCCCCAGGAAGTGCTCAAGTCTAGAGGCCCCAGAGTCCCAGCTACCCTTTCCGACTCTGAAGGACTGTTGCACATTTGTAACATCCACAGTTTACACCTCATTTTTCACAGCTTACATGGTAGCAACCCTTTCTATTGCAAAGAATTGAGACCCACTCAAGTTAGTTCAAATGATAGGTAAGTTTATTATAAAAGCAGAAATAAGGAAAATGCGATTTTCCACCATGAGCCAGGCCCCGTGAGAAGCTATGTCAGGCGTGAGTGAGTTGGTGGGGTCACCACTCGTTCCTGTAGGAAGAACTAGAGATTCCAAAAATGCTGATAACAATCACACACATAGAACTTATTTTGGCCAAACACCATAATAAATATTTGTATATATTAACTCATTTAATCCTCACAACAACCTCAGGAGGTAGGTGCCCATCTTGTACATAAGAGAACTGAGACATGTGGAGGCCGAGCAGCTGGTCTCAAATCAGCTGATAGTAAGTCGCAGAGCCAGCATTTGAAGTCTTGTGGTTTGGCTCCCGAGTCTGTGCTCATGACCATTATGCAGTGGTATGTTGTATGCCCAGGACCTACCGGTAAGAAGTGGGCTCGAAGTCCAAAGAAGCGTGAAGACTGGATATTCCTGCGGCCTCTCAGCAGCATGGGTCATGGACACCTGTTCCAATACATCGTGGCTGCACATGCATCTCTGATTCTCTCTGTGTCTGCTCTTCTTGCCAACTAATGACACATTCATCATGGATCCCTTCTGAATCTCCGAGAGGACCTGATGGTTTCAGTTAATTACTATTGTCCCTCTTTGATAAGGTCTTCCTTGATAGGTGACCTCATAGACTTGTTTGGCCAATTATCTGCTGTTCAGACTCCCACCCCTGGCCTGATCATCTGCGGTGACGTCAGAAGGGACCAAGGGGGGCCTGGAAGGCATCTTCAGTATAACTGACTTCTCTCCTGAGGAGAGACCCTGGGGGCTGTCAGCCTCCTACTCCTAGTACAAGTTCTCTTGGTGACATTAACTCCATCTGGGATGCAGGTATTGCTAGCTGTCACTTTCAGGGGTGTTCTTTCCTTGGCTAATGTCTTGCTCTTAGATTTGGGATCTTATGTTTCTCTGAGATCTGCAGCTTCTTGCCAAATAACTATACCTTTTTTCTGAACATCTACACTAGGCTCTTTCTCCTCCCCTCTCCTTCCAGCCCCCAACTCTCTGTCCCAGTCCTTCTTGTGCAAACGATCCAGACTGGCTTTCATTAAACACCACTTCTCCCTTCATTCCTGACTCAGAAACCTCACTATGTCTTGGTGTCATCCATTTAGCCTGTTGACTTCTCGTCTTCCCCATTCCTGAACATTCCAGCCTAACCAGGTTGGTTTCCTCACACTCCTACAAAGGTGCCGTGGCTTTTTCCTACCTCTATGCTTTCATTCATGTGGTTATTGTGACCTAGAATGTTCTCACCTTCCTCTCCCACTTGTCCAATCCCCACCTCCCCCACAAAACCTACCCTGACTTTCCCAGGCTCGCTGTTTCTTTCCTCTGAATTCCCAGGGCACTTAGCCTCTGTGATACCTAATTCAGTGCAGTTACACGCTCTCTTCTTTTTCTGTATCTGTTTAGTCATAGTTCCACAGCTAAATTATAAACTTCTGGATGGTGAAGTGGAATTTATTTAAAATTTTTTTATCATTCCATATTTCATTTCAAAAGGGGAAGTGGTTTTTTTAAAAAAAGATGAAATGAGAAAGGATAAGTTCATGTCCTTTTTAGGGACATGGTTGAAGCTGGAAACCATCATTCTCAGCAAACTATCGCAAGGACAGAAAACCAAACACCGCATGTTCTCACTCATTGGTGGGAATTGAACAATGAGATCACTTGGACACAGGGTGGGGAACATCACACACCAGGGCCTGTTTTGGGGTGGGGGGAGGGGGGAGGGATAGCATTAGGAGAAATACCCAATGTAAATGACAAGTTAATGGGTGCAGCACACCAACATGGCACATGTATACATATGTAACAAACCTGCACATTGTGCACATGTACCCTAGAACTTAAAGTATAATTAAAAAAAATAACAATAAAGCCAGAATACACCAAAAAAAAAAAGATAAAATGAACATATTTGAATGTTTACGTTTTAGACACTTTAGCAGACACTCAGCATGTATTTAATTTTGACAACAATCCCAGGCCACAGGTACCATAACCCTTATTTTAGAGGGGGGAGTACAGAGGTTCAGAGAGGCTAAGTAATTTGCCCAAGGTTACAGAGGCATTAGGTGTCAGGACCGAGACCTAAACTCAAGTCTGACCCTGTAGTTTTCACTCTTTGCACCACCACGTGGCTTGTTTTATAATTGTGGCCATGTTTTATTCCTTATACCTCTCAGTATGGTATTGACTACTTTGGCAAGGGCTCAATAAATACTGATTATAAGGTAATTGATGGCTCTTTTTAATCAGAGGATTGAGAAGAGCCCTTCCTTATGCTTTCTTATTAGTTCACTTATACATACATTTAAAATTTTATTGGACACCAGCTATGAGCCAGACACTGTTCTAGACATGAGGACACAGACAGAATATGATCCCTGCTCACCCAAAGAAGTGAGGCTTATACAAAAATGACTAATATACAATTGTATTCATTATCCATTACTCCACAAAAATTACCACAAATTTACTGCCTTATAACAACACATGGCCAGGCGCGGTGGCTCACACCTGTAATCCCAGCATTTTGGGAGGCCAAGGTGGGCTGATCACCTGAGGTCAGAAGTTCAAGGCCAGCCTGGCCAACATGGTTAAACCCTGTCTCTACTAAAAACACAAAAAATTAGCCGGGTGTGGTGGTGGGCGCCTATAATCCCTAGCTATTAGGGAGGCTGAGGCAGGAGAATTGCTTGAACCTAGGAGACAGAGGTTACAGTGAGCCGACATCACACCACTGCACTCCAGCCTGGGCAACAGAGTGAGATTCCATCTCAAAAACGAAAACAGAAAACAAAAAAACACACACACATTTATTGTCACACTGTTTCTGTGGGTGGGAAATTTTGGCACAGCTTCACTGGGTCCTCAGCTTAGGTACTCACAAGACTATAATCAAGGTGTTGGCTGGACTAGGTTCTTATCCGGCTCAGTTGGGGAAGAATCTGCTTCCAAGCTCACTCAGGTTGTTGGCAGAATTCAGGTTCTTGCAGCCACAAGACTGAGGGCCTCTGCTTGTTGTTGGCTGGAAGCTGCTCTTGGCTCCTAGGAGGGGCTCTAAAAGGGTGGGCCAGCAAGGAGGAGTTCTATACAATGCAACACAGTTGCCAGAGTGACACCCTATCACCTTTGCCTTATTCCATTGATTAGAAGCAAGTCACAGATCCCACTTACACTCAAGGGGAGGGGACCAAACAAGGGCATGAATTCCAAGAGGTGAGGATCACGAAGGGAGGCTGTCTTTGAGTCTGTCTTCCACAACAATAATAAATAAGTGCCAGGTGAGTGGTACAGACAACAAGTACTGCAGGAACTCAGCTGGGCTCCACATGTGAGGTGATGTCACTGCTGATGAGCTCGGGCCATTCAGAGGCCTGGAGGATCCTATTTGAATGAGATTGTGAGAGATGGGCACTACCATCAGTTTACAGGCAAAATGGAGATTTCACAAATGCTCCTGGAGACCATGGGCCCCGACCTCCACAGTGGCAGCCCCAAGCATGAGCCTGTCCTGGAAGGAGGCTGGCTATCGTCCAAGAGTCAGAGGGTCAGGCATCAGGTGATGACTGTGGACATGAAGAAATGGTGACATGTTCAGGAGCTGGCAGGCCCGAAGATGCACTGGGTAGACCCAGTGGGGGCCTGGACAGGTTGGAGGAAGGAGAGAGAGGAGGCTGAGGTGAGCCTGAAGTGAGGTGTCCCAGGGATGAACAGGTCAGAGCTTCTGAGGGGGCTGAAGAAGCAATTCACTGACTCCTTTCTTCAACTGGGGATAAATAACCTCTAATTTCTGTGGAGCACTCCTAGAAACAAAGAAATCCTTCATAGATTAATATGTATTCATATATTCCATTGGCTCTTCCATTGGCCATGTAGCATCAAGATACAAAAGCTAACGGAGCAGTGGGTCTCCTTGACCTCTGTGCATGTCTGTGTTGTGTGGGTTTATATGCACATGTGGGAAAGAAGAAGGGACAGCTCGTACCTGTTCAGTAAGTCACCAGCATTCTAGGAGAGAGAAAAAGTGAGAATCATAATTGGTTCTCAGGTTCCTATCACCTCCAAATTCCTTTCCCAATTCACTCTTGGAGGCCACTCTGGGGTGCCACCTTGAGAACTGGGGGAACATAGCAACACCCCTCTTCTGTGCCCATTCTGCTGCAGCAGCACTCTGTAGCCTGGAACAAGCCACATCTACCACAAGTCACCACATATCACACAGGCCCCTCCCTCTTACACCTTCCAGAAGGGTGATGCAGATGGGCTGCCTCCTATCGGGGAGAATCCCAGCCCTTGGGGAAGGCCTCAGGGTATGCACCTTCAGTGTGTTGGTGTCTAATTCCTTGGCCATCCTTTCCAGATCAATGACCAGGCTTCTGAGCTGTGTTACTGCCCTGGAGATGTCAAGGATTCTGGCCGCTTCTGCTGGCATGTGCTCCAGCTGGCCCAGCCACTGCTGGGGGAGGGCACCCAGCTGTTCCCTGGTTTGGTGCTGGCTCTCCGGCCCAGCCTCCAGCCTGTGGTTCCCGTGGTCTACCTGAAACTACAGGAAAGGGGCTCCCTAAGACTCAGTGTCAGGTGGCTCCCTCCTGGCCCTTCACAGTCTCTGAATGTCTGAGCAGGAATGCTGATTCCTCAATCCTCTTGCCCTCATGGTGTTGCCTCTGTGTGTCACAGGTATTGCAGAAGCAGCTTTGATTCTCATAAAGGCAGGGACACCTCACCTTTCCACCTCACTCTCTGAATATCTACAGATGCCATGTGACCAAGAGGAATAGAAAGGTAGACTGTCAGAGACAGAAATGGAGGCCTATGGCGGCCGGGCACGGTGGCTCACACCTGTAATCCCAGCACTTTGGGAGGCCAAGGCGGGCGGATCACGAGGTCAGGAGATCGAGACCATCCTGGCTAACATGGTGAAACCCCATCTCTACTAAAAAATAGAAAAAATTAGCTGGGCGTGGTGGCAAGTGCCTGTAGTCCCAGTACTCGGGAGGCTGAGGCAGGAGAATGGCGTGAACCCGGGAGGCGGAGCTTGCAGTGAGCGGAGTTCGTGCCACTGCACTCCAGCCTGGGCGACAGAGCAAGACTCCATCTCAAAAAAAAAATAAAATAAAATAAAAAGAAACAGAGGCCTATGGCTTGTGTAGTAATTTTCAGTTGACGAGACACTGGTCTCCTTTGATCCCTACTGTGATCCAGGTAGAGCAGGACTGGTTCTCATTTAACATGTAAGTCACATAAAGATCAGAGGGCTTAACTTGCGTAGGTCACTCAACCAGCAAACTTTGACGCCAAGGCCAACACCCGGGTTTTCAGCCTCCACGACCATCTGCCCACATCAGGCTGCTCCAGGGACAGACAGATGTCCAGAATAGTTAAGTAAGGGCTCCTGAGAACACTCCAGGGAGTCCTTCCCAGGAACCCGAAAAACCCACCTGCAGAGCCTGCAGTTTCTTCTCCTGCTGAGCCTTGAGCCGCTGAAGTTCTGCAATGTCCTTTCTGAGCTTCCTGCTCCGGCGATTGAGTCGTTCCTAAAGAGACAGACACACCTGCTTGTCAGACTGGGAGTGAGGGGGGCACCCACTGGGAGGAGTCAATGGAACACGGTAGGGGGCCTGATCCCAGAATGCAACTAATGTAAAATTCTGCCTAAAAAGAAATGCTTTTAGAGCATCATGGTTGGAGTAAGGGACTTGAGAGTTTATTTATTGGATAATGATGGGGGGAAATAGTAATGGGTAATTTTTTTACAGTCTTAGAAGTACAGAAAAAATAATAGATAGCAACAGAACCATTTCTACTTGACTTCAGGGTGCTTTCTCTCAACATATAAAAGTTATATGACAGTCTTCTAGCACTTCTTACTATTTTACATTAACACATGAAGCCAGTCTGGAGGGAATTGCCTTAAAGAGGAAATGGCAACCCTCTGCTACCTCTGCTGCCTGGTCCTCACTAGGATGAGTGACAAGATAGAGCCCTTTACTAGGTGCAAACTCATAGCCCAGGTAGGCAGTGCCTTCTCTCTCAATCTTAAATCAGCATCTGGATGTGTCTCTGTGTCCTTGAAGCTATGGAGTTAAAGAATGATTTGAGTTTCTAAAAAAATTTTGCTTTCAGGTTTTTGATGACCTATAAGAGAAGCAAAAATAACAACAAATGCTTTAAATGGCTGCCCATGGTTCGGGGGGCAGTTGGAGGGTGAATGATAAAATAGAAAACAAAACGAGAAGAGATTTGTGAACTAAAGATCAGGATGTGCTATTAGCTGAAAAGTGTGTGTTTCACTAAATCTTTCCCACTTCAGATTTTTTTTTTTAAATCTTTTTTGAGGAGATTTTGGAGATGTACAGGTAGAAGTCAGGGGATGGTGAAGACAACTGAAAGTTCTTTCCGGCCTGAGAATTTCCTGGTGAAATCAAGGTCAAAGGACTGTGTGTGTGAGGGGTCAGCAAGGGCATTTGGTGAACAGAAAGCTGCAGTAAGCAGAGAAGACAGTGATGTCACCACAAAGTTACTAAAAACGTGTCACGTCACTGGGTGTTTCCTGCAGGCATTTCCCAGCAGAGACGAAATAAAAAAGTCATAGGAGTGGGAGGTAATAAATGGGCATCATGGATGTCGCTCATGAGTCTCGCTGAAGAAGGTGGCAGGCTGGTGTGGAACTGTTTGTGTGAGCACAAGAGTTCATGTCCTGAAAAGCACAAACAGCCTTCACCGCTTGCATCTACTCACTTGCTGCCCTCACAGTCAAGTTGTTTGGTGTTGCTGTCTTCACCTCCTCACTGTCGTCATTCCTCAGCCAGCCGCCTTGTTTCTCATCACTCCTTTAAAGCCTCTCTCTCCAAAGTCACCTGAGATCTCCAGCCATGAAATCCGCAGGTGCCTTTCTGCACCTCCTCTCCACCCCATCCTTCCTAGACCTGTGCCTTCTGCCACTGCTTCTTTGCCTCTTCATTTTTTTCTGTAAAAAGGAGCCTTGAAGTTGGCTCCTCAACCCTTTTCTATCTCAGACTATGTCCTTAGCTTTCCTTTCTGGAGCCTTCAGATCTTAGAATTCCAAAACCAAATCTTTTTTCCTAGCAATCCATCTCATGCTTCCAAGTGAGAGCTAAGTGCTGCCTACTGCCCTGTTGGCAGCTCAAAATCAATATGGTAGAATCAAACATGCTGCCCAGTTCCCCAAGCTCTTCTGCAGTCCACTCCTCTTGACCTTCATGTTTCTGACATTGGGACTGCCATTCTGCCTGCCATTCAGCTTGAAATCTGTCACATTTCACCTTTGTTGATGTTAGTCCTCCCTTCAAAATGGCTTCTCAGCAACAAAGATAAGCCCAAACTCCTTCACCCAGCATCCAAGGTGCCCCAGAACCCAGCCCCAACTGACATTGTCCGGGATTCTCTCTCTGCTCACTCTGAACTCTCTTCACCAGCACACAATATTGCTCTCTGCTTCCCAAACACACCCGTGCAGCCACACCTCCTCATGGCCTTTTACTTCTCTCTGTCAGGAGTGCTTTATTTTTCTGCCTGTCAAAGTCAGGCCTATTAAGGTCCAGTTCAAAAAGCCACAGTCCTATCATCTGGCAGTTTAAAATTTAATAAAGCCAACTACAGACACTGTGTAAATGAAAAAAAGAAGGCAAAGATAACAGTAATAAAGATAAAGGCATAGAATGACTGAAGATAATACAGTCATATTGTTTACAATATTCAAAATGAGTAAGGTAAAGTCCTCTGTTTCTAAAAAGTACTTTTTCACCAATTTTTGCATAAAAGTATTTAATGGGTGCATATAATATAAATAAGACACTCACTAGAATTGGAAAGCTAAATTCTATACACTTTCACCTACCAAAATATTCCTCAGAGAAAAAAAGACAAGTTGAAATCTAGAAAATAGTCGAAGACCTGTCTTGTCTAAATGAATATTTTAAAATTCTGTCATTCAGATTAAATCATATTAAATTTTTAAAATCTGACAAAAAAGGGCATTAAATTTGTTCTTAAACAACTTGCTAACACAATGTACAAAAGAAAAGTGGTTAACAGACAAAAAGTACCTATCCCTGACACTGAAAAAAAAAAAAAAAAGAAAAATTAACAGCTTTCAAAATGCATGCTCCTTACAGAACTGTGTCCAAAAATATGAATTAAAAACAACATCACTCACACAATTATGATCTAGAAAATGTCAGAAAATTTTAAAAAATGTATGGTAAATACATGAGCTCAGCAAAGAATCTCATTTGAATCTACAAGTAAAAATTGTCAAAAAAAATAGTGTTATAAAATACATAGCTACCCTCAATAGAGTCAGGGCACATGAGGTTTAAGTAAAGACAATTTAATATCTGATTCAGATACATAGTGGAAAGCCGTTAGTGATGTATCTTGGTACTGGTTGAGAAGACTAACTAAATCCCCAAAAGTCATGATTCTTAGTAATCAACAAATTTAATGCAATAACCATTAAAATCTTATGGAATGATCTATGAAATTTAGAAACATTGTAAAAAAGCACTCATCTTAAAAGACAGCAAAAATATCAGGTAATAAAATTATTAAATGGCAAAAATGCTGCTAGATTTAAAAATAAACCATAAAGTAACATGTTGTCAAAACTATATAACAGAAAGAATAATCAATGGACTAGAGTAAAAAAAAAACAGCCCATCATGAGAACTTAATTGATGTCAAGCGAGAAACAACACGTAAATGTGGAAAGGACTCACTGTTATATAAATATTTTGGGAACAACTGGATACCAGAATAAAGAAAAATTAACGTGGAGTCATCCTTCACACAACATACTATATGAAATTCCAAGTAAGCCAGGAATTAATAAACCTTTAAAAATAAAACAGAGCAGCACACTCATATTAAACAAATTTCTGTGTATTTAAGACATGGAGATTATATTATAAAAAAGAATAGAGCCAATTTAAATGCAAATTTCTAAAAATTTGCCCAAAAATATAATTAAGAAGAAATAACAGAATAAAAAAATGTAGGTTAAACAAACACAACTAATGGAGCTCATTATCCAAAAGATAAACTATTTTGATGCAATCATGTAGAATTTATGCCCTGATTCTAGGGGAAAATGCAGACAGCGAGTCTTCATGGATAAAAGCCTCACCACTACTAGCATTCATAATCAAGCAAAGTAAAACAACGTACATCACTGTCACACACTTACTAAACCAGCAAAATACATTAAAGTGATTGACACTGACATTGATTGGTCAGTGAGGAAACAGGTATACAAATAAGAATTTGTAGATTTTATAAATTTTTCGGTCTTTTTAGAGTACAGTCAGGGATTATATGATTCTTTTAAAAGAACAAAATTTACAATACTTAACTACAAAGTTTAATTCAAATAAATAGAGATATGGTGAAAAAATCAGTAAAAAAAAAACCCTCCTTAATTTCAAAAGTACGCTGTCAATATCCATGAGTACACATAGGGTCCACCATTATAATCACTTCTTCAGAAATATACTCAACTCCCTTACCCTCCCTCTCTGTGTTACTTTTCAGACAACTCCTTATCCATGGTAAAATGTACCATCACCTTCTTGTTTGCTGTCTGTCCTCAGGCAGCCTCCTGAAACATGTTAAACATTTCAGACCTCAAATTGGTGCTACATACTGTCTGCCAACCCTACATAGTTTCTCTTGTAAGCGCTCTCCCACACTGCATCACACCATCTTGTTTCTTTTCAAACCTTTCACATCCATCCTGATCCCACCCATACTGCTGATGTTCCTTCCTCAAATATTATGAGAAAATAAAAACCAGAACAAAACCTGGACTTCCAAAACTGCAAAACTATGTAGGCTTGCAGACACCTTCTCTTGTTCCCTGTTATTACTATGGAAGAAATGTGCCTCCTCCCAACTCAGCTCTCATGCCTCTGCCACCATCTTACTGAAGTGTTAGCATTGTTCAATGCAATCTATTATAATCTCTTAAAATACCCTTCTCTCTTAGCAGCTGGGGCACCATTCCCCTTGTTTTTCTCCTGCCTTTCTGGCAACTCATCCTGTCTCCTTTGCTGGGTCCTCCTCTGCCTACATCTAAATGACGGCCTTTCCCAGAACCTTACCCCAAAACTTCTTTTCTGTCTAGCCTCTTTTGAGGCAATTACATCAGTTTCCTTGGTTTCTTGGTTGTTTGTTTCTTTGTTTGAGACAGGGTCTTGCTCTGTCTTCCTGGCTGCAGTGCAGTGGTACAATCACAGCTCACTCCAGCCTCACTCTCTTGGGCTCAAGCAATCCTCCCACCTCAACCTTCCAAGTAGCTGGGACCACAGGCGTGAGCCACTGCACCCAGCCCCAAATTGTCACGTTCTTTTTTTTAAATCCTGTTAATTTCACTTTGTTGTTGCTGTTGTTGTTCTAGAGATAGTATCTCACTGTGTTGCCTAAGCTGGTCTTGAACTCCTGGGCTCAAGCGATCCTCCCACTTTGGCCTCCCAAAGTGCTGGGACTACAGGTGTGAGCCACCGTGCCCGCTTTTCTTGGATTTAAATATTGTCTTTGTCTGGATGGATCTTTGTTCTAGGTTCTAGGAATAAGACTCTGGAGATCTAAATTTGTGATCCAGCTGCATATGTAAGATCCTATTTTGATGTGTCTCAACTTGGACTCAACTTGTCTTAAATGAAACTCTTGGTGTTGCATTCAAACCTGTTCTACCAAGTTATTATCTTTCACATCATCTATTCAGTTTCTCAAACCAGAAACTCATGAAGTCATCTTTGACCTTCCTCCTTCCTTCAACCCACTTTTTAAAATATATATACTTTAAGTTCTGGGGCACATGTACAGAACATGCAGGTTTGTTACATAGGTATACACGTGCCATGGTGGTTTGCTGCACCCATCAAACCGTCATCCACGTTAGGTATTTCTCCTAATGCTATCCCTCCCCTACCCCCCATCCCCTCACAGGCCCCGGTGTGTGATATTCCCCTCCCTGTGTCCACGTGTTCTCATTGTTCAACTCTCACTTACGAGTGAGAACATGTGGTGTTTGGTTTTCTGATCTTGTGTTAGTTTGCTGAGAATGATGGTTTCCATCTTCATCCACGTCCCTGTAAAGGACGTGAACTCATCTGTTTTTATGGCTGCATAGTATTCCATGGTGTATATGTGCCATATTTTCTTTATCCAGTCTATCATTGATGGGCATTTGGGTTGGTTCCAAGTCTTTGCTATTGTGAACCATGCCACAATAAACATACGTGTGCATGTGTCTTTATAGTAGAATGATTTATAATCCTTTGGGTATATACCCAGTAATGGGATTGCTGGGTCAAATGGTATTTCTGGTTTTAGATCCTTGAGGAATCACCACACTGTCTTCCACAATGGTTGAACTAATTTACACTCCCACCAACAGTGTAAAAGCGTTCCTATTTCTCCACTTCGTCTCCAGAATCTGTTGTTTACTGACTTTTTAATGATTGCCATTCTAACTGGCAGAGATGGTATCTCATTGTGGTTTTGATTTGCATTTCTCTAAAGACCAGTGATGATGAGCATTTTTTCATATGTCTGTTGGTTGCATAAATGTCTTCTTTTGAGAAGCGTCTGTTCATATCCTTTGCCCACTTTTTGATGGGGTTGTTTTTTTCTTACAAAGAACCCACTTCTAATCTCTCAGTAAGTCCTGTCGATTCAAACTCTAATGATAAATTCTTCAAATATAACAAGACTTCTCAGGTGTGGGCATCTGTATGCACTCCCTACCCCCTGTCTTTGCAGGTTGATTTCTCTTCTGCCAGCCCTCAGCTTCAAGGTCACTTCCTCTATGAGGCCCTCACTGACCAAATGGACATGGGCCACCCATTACTGTTCATCCCAGACCCTTGTTTATTTTCTTCCTAACTAATAAAAAGTTACAGTTCTTTTGGGAGGCCAGCGCAGATGGATCATGAGGTCAGGAGTTCAAGACCAGCCTGGCCAAGATGGTGAAACCCCGTTTCTACTAAAAATACAAAAATTAGCTAGGCCTGGTGGTGGGTGCCTGTAATCCCAGCTACTCGGGAGGCTGAGGCAAAGAATTGCTTGAACCTGGGAGACGGAGGTTGCAGTGAGCCGAGATCATGCCACTGCTCTCCAGCTTGGGTGACAGAGTGAGACTCCATCTCAAAAAAAAAAAAAGAAAAAAGAAAAAAAAAGTTACAGTTCTTTGATTACTTATTTGTGTCTCCCTTACTACACTGCAAACTCCTGGCAGAAGGAATGGCATCTGTCTTCATTGATTCCTAGCACATGCTGCAGTTTCTCACACACAGCAGGAACTTACTAAGGTTTACTTAATGAACAAGTGTCATCGTTATTTATTTGTTTTAGCTTTCTTGTCATTATTTAAAGACAGATTTGAAACAAGAATTATGAATCATCTTTGTACTTTCTACAATGCCTAGCATGACATCTAACACAAAGGACAGACCTGAAAAAATCATTTAGTGAGGAAATAAATTTCTCCATCTTATGCTGCTTCATCGGCAGGTGAGGAATCCCTCCCCACTCTCCTGTGGACATTGCACCTGGAGGGAATGATGTTAGAACCAAATAGAACTTTGCCTCTGGCTTTTTCAATTATTTCTCTACCTTTCTGTAGTCACTTTTAATCTGGACTCCCCACTTTCTCATTCTGTATCATAACATGTTCTCCAAAAGTCAAGTATCTCAAAGCTACCTCAGCTTTGGAAGTTCAGCCTTCACTATTGGATAGAAGGATGCCATGTGAAAATATTGTCAATTGTCCAGTCAAATACTAACTGGATTGGGGTCAGGGGAAAGGTTGATAAAAATAATTCCAAAGCTAATTGGCAAAATAAAGATATACAAATATCTGCACGAATTCTGAAAAATAAGAGTATTGTGAGGATTCTATCAAAATACCTGACATTAAAATATATGGTAAGGATAAAATCTCTAAAATACCTTGGCTTATAGGCAAGCATAGACAGAATAGAACAGCATAAAGAATCAAGGCAGTATGCAAGAAAATATGCATATATGGTATATTATGACATTGGCATTCAAATCAATGGGGAAACTATATGAATCATTCAATAAATGGTGATAGGACAAATTGATTATAACTTGGAAAAACTAAAGTTAGATTTCTACCTTATGCTCTCACCAAAATATATCTTGGATATTCTAGGTCCTCCAATATATATGTTGAAGGATATTCATTAGAACATTCTGTGTAATCTTAAAACAAAACAATAGCTTGGAAATGACCCAAAGTCTGCCAATTTATGGTACATTCATAGAATTTAATACCACACAGTTCTTGAAAATAATTCAGAAGATCTATACATGCTGATGAGAAAATGTTCAAGCCACACTTTTAGATAACAAAAATGAGTTACAGAAAAAAATATAGAGAGAATCCTTTGAGGGTGTGTGTGGGTGTGTGTAAGAGTGCATTCATAAGCACACACATTTTTTGGAAGGATGTACAAAAATCAAACAATGGTTACCTCTGAGGACTATGAATGGAGGGAGAAAGGAAGACAAGTTTTTAGTCTTGACTTTATACCTTTCAGTGCTTTCTGAATTTATTACCTACAGCATGTAACTTTTGTGATAGAAAATTTAACAGAATAAGATAAAATAATTGCCATAGCAAAGAAAGGAAAAGGAAAGATAAGACAAATGCAGAAGGAAGAAAAAGAGAGAAAAAATTATGTAGTAACTTTCAGGTTTTAATATATTTTCAGGATAATTACTAGTGTATATAAAACCTGATTACATTTCTAGCCAAGTTTCTAGTACTATCAACCAGGAGTTCACACAGTTTTAGTCCTGAAAGGGTTTTGCATTAGTTAGTCCAATTACTCTATTCTACAGATGAGCAGACTGGGACTCTGACATCACACTGACAATATCCTCTTTTAGACAGACTCACATTGATGCATGGAAACATCAGCCTCAAAATATACACAGAAAAGCAAGACAAGGGTCCAAAACAGGATGAAGCAGAAGAAACAAAGAGAGATGTCCATTGTTGAGCTACTCTGAGGTGCCAGGCATGATGAACATGTAGGATGCAGCACCTCAGCGAGGTGGAGGCAGGGCCTGGCTGCGGTGACCCAGGCTTACCTTGTAGTGGCTGAGGGCATTTTCAATGGTCAGTTCATGATGAGACATGTGTTCAGGGGACACCAAGCATTCCACACATAGAAGAAGTCTGCTCTCCTCACAGAACCTGCACACCCTCTTCTGGTGGTTGGGGCAGATATAGCCTGTCCCTAGCACCTCCTCAGAACAGGGCTTCCGGCAGAGGGGGCAGCAGAAGACCCCAGAGGCTGAGGCCTTCTCCACATGCTGTGTCAGGCACACTCGACAGAAGAGATGTCCGCAGTTGGTGCTCACGGCCTCCTTCAGGCTCTCCTGGCAGATGGGGCAGACACCCTCCTCCTGGTTGTCCTTCTGCAAAGGGATCATGGCCTTGTTCCTACCCTGTCAGCCTCCTGTCTGCAGGGCCTCCTTCTTCACTGGTCTTCGGAAGGCCTGTTGCCCTCAACAGTCCCAGATAAGAAGGCCCAGTCGGAAGGAGGCAGCCCTGGAGCAGCCTGGGGACAGGACACAGCCTCCAAGTTCAGGCAATTGCCCACTCTCCCTCAAGGGTGCCGTGACATAGACCACACAAACCACAATTCTGCACGAGTTTCAGAAATAGCTCATCAGCTTTGACATGGACCCTGCGGTTTCCTTGTGTTTGTTAAACTTGAAATTATTTTTCATACACCTAGAGGAAGCAAGTGATTCAATAACCAACTCTGTTTTCCTCTTGACAGCTTTCAGTGAATATTTGCACGGGCCCCAAATTAAAAGGGCAAGGTGTCATTGTCATGGCCAAAAGCCAGACCACTATAAACTTACAATTTGAGTCTCCTCTGATTTGCCATCAGTAGAGAGAGTTTGGCAGGAGTTTGGACTGTTTTCTCCTACACTGTCACACCGGGTGGCTCACTGCTGCCCATTATTACCACCAATAATTACAGCAGCATCTCCATCAGCTGGTCATTCTTCCAACCAACATCCCTCCCAGGGTCATATAGATTCCACACTGAAAGAATGAGAAAGAAAACAGGACACAGAACAGACTAGAGACTTGTATAATGTTTGAAGCCACTTTGTTCCTTCCTGTCAAATCACCACCAAAGATGACCCAAAGAAAGAAGTCCCCCGCCACCTGCCACCTCCCTTAGATACTGAGGATTCACTCTTATTCCCTCATGCTGCACCTCTTGCCTAGCCCCACTCCTGAAAAGCTTTCTTAGTATCCTACCTCAATTTCTCCTGCTACAATTTCAGATCATCTTCTCTGGCTCCAGACCTGGAGAGATGGCCAGCAGACGAGTGGTTCTTATATCATGCCAATCATATGTGTTCATATGTCAGTAAATCTCAGGGCAGGGGGTGGAAAGACTCATGCTTTCCTAGAAACACTGAATTACCAGGAAAATTACCTAGGGTAGCTGGAAGGTGAGATGGACTTTGGTGCAGGGCATGGCTTGTTTGCTCAAGGGGAGGAGGAAGGTCTTGGGCCTTTGACGTCGATATGACAGGAAATGAGACTCAACTAAGAATGGACATCCTAGAACCCCAGCTTATGGAACCCCAGGATCCAGGTGTCACAGAATAATGGCACCCACTCAAGATGCTGGAACATCAAATGCCCACCCCATTGTCTAAGTTCCCTCCAGTCAGGCTAGTCTTGGCATTGAGTTTGAGGGAGCCCCTAAGGGGTGCCACTAATAAGGGCTGTCACTTGAAACTTCTAAGGGTCCAAGACGCTTGTTGAAAACCTCATTTCAGAGCCTCCTCCCTCAATCCCACTTTGCCACTGTTTGCTGTGGGCTGTGTGATCTTGTGAGATATATATATAATTAGTCTTGGCACAGAGCTCCTAAAACCCTTGAAAAGATGATCCTTAACTTATGATGGGGTTACGTCCCAGTGAATTCACTGAAGTCAGAAATATTGTAAGGTGAAAGTGTACTCAATACCCCAGTAAACCCATCATAAAGTCAAAAATTTTAAGTTGAATCATCTTAATTCCTGATGCACCTCAACTTACCACATGGTTATGTTCTGATGAGTGTATCTTTTATTATTCATAATAAGCCCTTTTCAACCATACCAGGGTTTATGCTAATGAGGTGACTCTTGGAGGAAGAATGGGGGCTGGTTGGCAGAAGAACCATGTGATTAGAGGGTGGGATCTTTCTTTCTTTCTTTCTTTCTTTTTTTTTTTTTTGAGACAGAGTTTCACTCTTGTTGCCCAAGCTGGAGTGCAACGGCACTATCTCAGCTCACTGCAACCTCTGCCTCCCAGGTTCCAGCGAATCTCCTGCCTCAGCCTCCCGAGTAGCTGGGATTACAGGTGCACACCACCATGCCCAGCTAATATTTTGTATTTTTAGTAGAGACGGGGTTTCACCATGTTGGCCAGGCTGGTCTCGAACTCCTGACCTCAGGTTACCTGCCTGCCTTGGCCTCCCAAAATGCTGGGATTACAGGCGTGAACCACCACGCCTGGCTGGTTGGAACTTTCAGTCTCACCTCTGACCTCTGGGGAGGGGAGAGGAGCCCAGGGACTGAGTTAATCACCAACAGCCAGTGATTTGATCAATCATACCTAAATAATGGAACCTCTGTAAGATCCTGAACAAAGAGGTTTGGAGAGATTCCAGGTTGGTGAGTGCATCCACATGCTGGGAGGGTGGCACATCCCACACTCCACCGGGGACAGAAGCTCCTGTGCTCAGGATCCTCCCAGAACTTGCCCTTCATCTGGCTGTGAAATTACCATGATCCTGGTGATTTCAAAGACTACGTACATGATCATTTAACACCAAGGCCTTTCAGTTCTTGTCCTGCTCACATCCAATGACCTTTGCTTTTGCCACCCACCCTAGTGGCCACTCTCTTGACCTTGTCAGGATTCAGATTTCACCACCTGAAATTATAAATGTAGGCATTGTACTCACTTATAGTTCTCTTCCTAAGGCATTTCCGACAATGTCTGTTTTTTAACCTTCAATCCTTGACCCCTCCACAATCTACGTTCCTGTCGTATCTCATGAAATAGTATAAGAAACAAAAATGTGGACAGATTAAGTAACCTGCCCAAGGCCACAGTGGTGTAAACATAGAGCTGGGATTCAGATCTGGGTGTCTCTTATCGCAGCCCATGGGCTTCATTACCATAAAATGTCATCTCTCTATATATACCTTTTTTTGCTCTTAGAAAGGATTCAGTAAAAGCTTGATAAATGGATGGATTAATGGACAGATGGACAGATAGATTGATAATTAGATGTATGGATAGACAGATGAAGAAACAGCACTTTGTACCAACTTATAGTACTGACTATATAGTAACTTCTACTAGTTACTTAGGTACTTTTCTTGATTTTCCTACTGGTTTATTGAGCAACTTGAAGGCAGAAATCCACTGTATTTAACTAGCAGTAGCTTGAGAATGTTTCAAATGTAGAAACCATAAAAGGAAAGAAAGATAAATTCAGCCACATTAAAAAAGACCTGCATGGGGGAAAAAAAACCGTAAGTGCAATGTCAAGAGACAAATGACGAAATACCATTGGAAGAAGAAAAATATTTACAACTGCCATCAAAATCAAAGGGCTAATTACCTTTTATATACAGCTCTTGCAAATAAGAATTTATCAACTACCAAGAAGAAAATTGGGCAGAGGTATCTCAGCAGACATTTCATAGAAAAAGAAATACCAAATGTCTCTAAAGCATATTAAAAGATAATCTCAATCTCATGAAGAAAATACAAATTAAAATAACACTGACATACTATTTTTCCTATCAGATTGACAGAAATCCAAACATTTGGTAACACAGTGTTGGTAAGTGTGTGAGGAAATTGGCACTCCCATACACTGCTGATGGGAATGCCAATTAGTACTCCTCCTTTAGAGGAGTAGGAATTTGAGAATTTCCTCCAAGATTACAAATGTACATTCTCTTTGAGCCAGCAACTCTGATGTTAGAAATTTTACATATATATTCATGCATATGTGAAATAATATATGCATATACCTATTGCATCAATGTTTTAGAAACATTTGCTTCAAATTTTAGAAAAAAAACAAATGTTCATCAACGGAAGTTAAGCTAAATAAACTAGCTACATTCATACAATAGAACATTGTGCAGCCATTAGTAGGGGGTGGGGTGTGGAAGGGAACTTTTGCTATTGGAATAATCTCCAACATAAATTGATACATTAAAAAAAAAAAAGCTTGGCCAGGCATGGTGGCTCACGCCTGTAATCCCAACACTTTGGGAGGCCGAGACAGGTGGATCACGAGGTCAGGAGATCGAGACCATCCTGGCTAACATGGTGAAACCCTGTCTCATTAGCCGGGCATGGTGGCGGGTGCCTGTAGTCCCAGCTACTCGGGAGGCTGAAGTAGGAGAATGGCGTGAACCCGGGAGGTGGAGCTTGCAGTGAGCCGAGATTGCGCCACTGTACTCCAGCCTGGATGACAGAGCCAGACTCTGTCTCGAAAAAAAAAAAAAAAAAAAGCTTAATGGTGCCCATCTCACATCAGACAGGAACAAAGCAACCCCCTGTTTATCCCAGCTTGGCTTCTGGTCTATGCCCATGCCTGGTTTATGCTTTGGACACATAGATTACTGATTTAAAAAAATAAAAATAAATTAAATTTAAAAGCAAGGTACAGAACAGTGTGTATAATATGCTATTATTTGCACAAATCGGGGAAGAATAAATACATTCTTATTTGCTTTTTATGCAAAGAACATCTCTGGAAGAATATATCAATGAACTAGTAAAATTTGCTTCTGGAGAGAGAAACTAGATGTGTGGAAACCAGGGGCAAGAGGGAGACTTTTTCCTGTGTTTTTAAAATTTTGAGCCAGCAAATGTGCCATCTATCTAAACAATTACCTAAATTTTAAAATGTTTAAGAAGAGGATGGTCAGAATGAAAGGAATTCTGGACTAGTCAAAGAATCTGGATTATGGTCCTAATCGTGGAGATTTGTAGCTTCATGTTCAGGGGCAGCCACAACTTCAGCCTCCTTTACAAGAAAGTGGACAAAATGTCATAGCTGGAAATGGATGTGCTTCATAAACTACAAACTAATGCGCAACTGTCAGGGTCCTTATTTCCCTGAGTCAGCCTATTCGGCATAGCTCCTTGAATATATTAGATGCTCAGTAACTGTTTTAAAGGAGTGATCTTATCTAATTTCTCCTGCTTTAAAAATACTGGAGCCAAGAGTCAGGTGATTTTTGTCTTTTCCCTCTCCTTTATGACTCTTAATTGCCTCTGTTTTGACATTTCCCAGCAGGGAAGACCTAACTCCTACCTCTTTCACACAGCTGCTCCAAACCCTTCACATCAGTGGAAGCCCAGCTCAAGTCCCAGTTTCCTGAATGAAACTTTCCTAACAAGTCAGTCTTCATTCTGATGAATGGGGGCTGAGACCTAGCCCAGAGGTTGCTTGCCAAGCTGTGGGCTCTGGCTCAGGGCAGCAATGGCCCCAAGAAAGTGAACTGATCCATCCTAATTTTCACAAAGGTGTCAGAGGGGCCTGCAGGTTCTACATGGATCTCTCTTTCCTAAATCACCGTCTCATTTATTACCATTTGATTTTTGCCAACTTCCCTGGCTTTGGCTCACATTTAGCTTCATGAGGGATAGGACTATGTCTTTCTGTCTTTCCATACTCTCCTATGCCTATCCCAGGGCTGGGCACCCTAAACCACTCTCTAAGGGTCTCCAACTAAGTCCTAAACTCAAATCCCAGCGGTATTTTCTCAGTTCACATCCAAACTGATGACTCAAACTTTAGATCATCAGCAGTCCCCTCCTTAAAATTCTCCTCTCCACTGGCTCCTGGGTTCCCTCTCACTTATTTGATCATCCATAAAAGGAGATCTACTCTATCTTAGTGCAGCGAGGTGGAGCTACGTGGACTTCACAGGCGGAGTGTCCGGATTCAGATTCCCATTCTACCGATGCACAGTTGTTAGCACTATGCAGATCCTGTAACCTCCCTGAGGCCCGATGCCAGCTTGGTATTACTATCCCTATTGAGTTTAAACTTCTGTGCATTCTTAAGTGTTCCATCACCACCTCAAGTTCAATGTACCTTCGAATTATTCTTGCCTGGATTATCTGCCACCCTCCCCAGAACAGGCAATGAACAGGGTCATTCAGCTGTTTTCGGCAGCTGTCTCTTGATGGACAGTAGGTGGCGCTGTCTTTCAAGACAGGACACCATTTCGCTTCACCTCCGGAAGGTGGAGCATTGTTGCCAAGACTCTAGGGCACTGGCAACCGTCTTTTAAACGGTGGCTTAAAAACTGATAGCATAATTCCTCAGGGCAAGAAACATCTGGCTGTGGAAAGCTAGCCGTGAAATATGTAGACTGAAGATGGAAGGAAAGAGAAGGGAAGGGGAGCATAAAACTGTGTAAGAGGAAGAGGGGTGGCCCAGGAGAGAGACAGAGCCTGCAGGGCTGCAGAAGGCAGGTAACCAACAAGGAAAGTTTACCAGTGAGAAATGTCTTGGGCAGAAATAGTGAAGGAATGTTTAAGAACGGAAATGCCTAATACTGAAACTTAAGTTGTCTGCCCTGAGATTGTGTCCTCTGCTGAAACCTGTCCTTTAGACCAGCACTCAATACTTTTTATCCCTAGACTTCCAGGAATCAAGCAGTCAATCTGTCATGCACAGTGACCTGAATAAGAGGAAATTTAGAGAAATCTCAGGAAAGTTGCTATGCTCTATGTTTGATGAGGCAGTTCTCAGAAAAACAGGGTTGGGGAGGAGCAGGGGTTCAAGATCTCAGATTTAGGAGGCATGGGGGACTCAGCAGAGCCCTTGGGAGCTGCTGGTGAAAGAAATGAGTTATTGGTAGAAACCTCTGAATTCCACCCAGTCGCGTGGAGGAAACAACCTCCAATACAGCATGACCTCACTTATACTCAGAGTGTAAAAAAGTTAACTGGTAGAAGCAGACAGTATTAATACAATGGTGGTTACCAAAGTCTGGGCGTGGTGGGCATGGGGATGGGTTGGTCAAAGGATACAAAGTTTCAGTTACTTCAAGGAGGAATACTTCAAGAGATCTGTTGTACCTTCTGGTGATTTGTTAGTAATGGTACACTGTGTTCTTGAAAATTGCTGAGAGAGTAGATTTTAAGTGTTCTCACCACAAAACACGAAAACCAAATAAACAAAACTAAAACAGCCTGAAATGTATTGAGGCTATTAGGCATTCACCAGGTTGTTAAGGAATCCTTATTTCAAGTCCTACAAAACAGCTGCTCTTGAGAAGCACAGCCAGATGGACCAGTGTGGACATTACATATGGCGAGGTTGTAGAAAGCAATGAATCCACCCCCAGTGGAATGCGTATGAGGGGCTGGCTTACAGTAAATACTTAACTGGACACACCTATTTCAACAAAAGGATAGGGTTACACAATCAGCCACTTCCCTATAATAGGGGAATTTATGAGCTTCCAACTCCAAACTGAGGCACAGGGAAGAATCAAAAAGGGTAAGCAAATGCAGAGAGTGATGTTCGGTGACACAGACAGTACGTCAGCCTGAAGTGGGACCCCAGCGGAGAGACTTCAGGGACAAGCCTGTTGCAGTCGTGAAGTGTGCAGAGGAAGCTCTGCCATTAAGTTCATCCCTTGCACTGGTTCTTTCCAAGACCCTGGAATTCCAAGCAATGTGTTCAATATGGTCATGCTAAGTGTTTTGTAAAATTTGCAAAAGTAACATATTTTAACCACGGTTAGGATTACTGTCTCCTTCCACGTCAACTTCCCTCTGTCACAGTTTCTCTTGTATCAGGTAGCATGTGGGGGTTCTAGCTAAGGGGAAATTAAGTTGGGATTACATTGTTTGAGATTACTAGGATATGTGGTTCATAAGCACTTTCATGTATAGTCAAGTTATTGCTACCCGTCTCAGTGTAGAAGTGGCTTACAGGAACCACCACCCACTGAGATAACTCACCTGACATCAGAGACTAAAGTGAAAGGTCAGAGATCTGTCACAATAAGATTGTGTGCTGTGACATGAGGCACCAGAAGTCTGTGGACAGTGAAGCCAATAAATCCTTTTAACCCCTAGATGTAGAAAATTATAAGCGTATTACTCAGTCTCATCAAAGTCTAGTCAAAATGGAAGCTCTCTTCTTTAGGAATATACTTATTAAATATGCATATACAATTATACATACATCATGAAATAAAATGATCTCTTGCATATTTGCACATGAAATTAATAGAAGTTATTCTGACATCAGAAAAGGAATTGAAGAAGAAAAAAAGTTTGGTTCCAGCCAAAACCAGCAATTTATTGAAGGGAAGGGATACATTTTAAATAGAATAGATGCCTAGATTGTTTGACAATCACTTGATGAAGAATTAACCACATAAACACATTAAAACTTAAAAAAATTGTTGTTTTGGCATAAAATATTGACATCTACAAACAGTTTCATACTACACCTTCACAACAAGGACTTAACGAAAAACAGGCCAATGACTTTCAGCAACTTAAAAGAGTATTTAAGATTAGTCACTGCCCAAGAAAACTTGAAATGCCCTGAAATCTCAGGCTTACATAGGAAACTCTTCACAGAGGCTTCTCCAAAATTAATAGCACTAAAAATTTGCATATTATTACCAATAACGATTGTGAAATGGATATTAACTTTTCTAAACTTTCAATAAAAACTTTTTTTGCTTAACTATGCTAGACGAAATACCAAATTATTCATTCTCACCCAGGAAAATACATTACAAAAGTGTTGTCGAATGAAGAGGGAATCAAAAAATATAAATGGGAAAATATAGGGGTGGTTCAAGCAGTTATTAGAATTTTGGGGGGATTTTTTGATGTTTGTGATATGTCAGTTTTTAAACATTTATCATTTGCTGTCATTGTTTTTCCTCATTGTAAGTCATATTTGCTTTTATTCTTAATTTTGTCAAATTCTGTATCCTTTTTCTTTTCTTTCTTTCCTTTTTTTTTTAATTTTTTTATTTTGAGACGGAGTGTTGCTCTGTCGCCAGACCTGAGTGTAGTGGCAACGATCTTGGCTCACTGCCTCACTGCAACCTCCGCCTCCCTGGTTCAAGAGATTCTCCTGGCTCAGCCGCCCGAGTAGCTGGGATTACAGGCACATGCCACTCACTATGCCCAGCTAATTTTTTGTATTTTTAGTAGAGACGAGGTTTCACCATGTTGGCCAGGATGGTCTCGATCTCCTGACCTCGTGATCCACCCACCTCGGCCACCCAAAGTACCGGGATTACAGGCGTGAGCCACCGTGCCCGGCTGTATCCTTTTTCTTGAAAAGACACAACACTGTGTAAGCTTTCAAGCCCCACAAACCTGGGCCATCTCCCCGCCCCAGGAGAGTTCTCCGGCAATGGGAGTGGCCCAGACAGGCTCCCCAGATAGGGTCGGTTTCCAACAGGAGCCCTAAGGGGAGCTGAACCGGAAAACAAGTCTGTTAGTAGCGCTGGTCCTACGTGTCAGGGCTCAGTGGATAGAGAAGGAACAGGTGAGAAGCAGAGCCCCCGCCCAGTCCCCAGCGGTCCCCTTGGGAGCTCTGCTCGTGACCGTCCCGAGGGGCTGCGGCTCCGGGGCTCGGGTCGTTTTGAGTTCCTATCTTTGCGGCGGCTCTAGAATTCCAGGGGCAAGGCTTGCGCTCTGTCGTTTGCAGAAGACCGTCGCCAACGGACATCTGGGCCCTCTGGTGTTTCCAGCCCCACCTCCTCCCAGCCTTTCTTGTAACTAACCTGATCGAATGTGTGAATTGGGATTTCTTTTAAAAGCCCACCTCAACTGAAATTGGGACAGTGTAATCAGGATTCCGCTCCCCCGCCTTCACCCCAGTCGGTTGCTTTTCAAATACAGCTTTTCTAAAACGCCGCCAGGCACCCGGGCGTGAAGGCGCGCGTCCGGCGTTCCTGGGCGCTCACCCAGTGGTCCGCGCGCCAATCTCCCTAACGTTCCCCAACCGCCGTCCGAGCTGCCCCACTCTTCGCCCGGTCACTGATGCAGAGGCTGTCAGGCCTCTCTGCGCACGAAACCCATCACAGCACCTGGGCCAGCAGCCAGTGCCGGGCTGTCCTCTTCCCACCCCAAGGCGGTCCTCTTGAGTCTTCACACCGCCTCCTTCGGATCCCTCCCCATCCTGAGGACTTCAGGTTGCCGGCTCCTCACTTGGGTCCTGCGCACCTCGGGCTTCTCACAGAGTAGCCGTCTCCATTCTACGGATAGGGAAACAGAGGACCAGAGCCCCGAAAGTCGTACGCCCCAAAGCCCCTGAGAGTGGTCTCCAAATGCTAGTGCTGTGGCTCTGGAAAGATTCATTTTATTTCTTGCAACAAAGGCAGCCTCAGAGAACTGGCCTCCGAGCCTTTTCCGTGCAGAACCCCAATCTTTCAAGACACCACAGACCAATTCAGTTGGCAAAAGCCCTAAGAACAGTACACCCCAAACCAATGGAATAAAAAAGTTTTGTTTAGTTGAGACTGCAGAACTCTTAGCTGGCTTACAGATTTCTAAGGCAGCATTTGGCACCTCTGTTTGCTGTTTGGCTCCTCTTTCAGCCTCTAGAGCTGACTGCAGCTCCAATCTCCTTGTCACATCCTGGTCTGCAAACTGAGACCTCACAGGGGCCTTTACACCGTAGGGCAACTCCTTATGCCGTTGTCACACTGAAGCTAGAATTCTCAAAGCTGGAGCACTTAGGTGTCTGCATTTTAGAGGTCCCAGCCTGAATATATGCACAAGCAGGGTTTTTGTTTCTGAGCTCAGTGAAGAGGACTGCTGTGACTCCAGCTCTTCTGAAATATTAGATGTGTAAAATGCAAGATTCTCTTCCAGCCTTGACTGGAGGTGATGCGGCAATGTGTGTACGCAAGAAAAGTCCATGCAGACTTTATACAGACTTTACTACTACAGACAAGAGAATCTTTCTGAAAGCTAAGGCCCAGAGAAGAGCAAACTACTGAAAAACTAAGGCCTGCATCAGAAGGGCTTCTGCTTCCATTAATGGACTGAGTAATTCAGACCAAGCCTCCATTTGAAGACAACTAAAAATGCTGGGTAAAATATTTTTAAGTATCTTACTTAAATATTCAAAGGTTAGTGAGGAATTGCTGGGCCAAAATTTGGGAAAGGAAAGGAACATGGAGGTGAGCCTGCAACTGGGGTCGCTTCTGTTCTGGGAGCATTTGCTGAAGAGAGTTTAAGAATCCAAGCTGCATTTTTGGCAGCCTTTAAAGGCTTAAAGGGAGTAGAAATGGTGTCCCAGCCCAGAGAATCTCAAGTAACCATTGAACTTGTTCAAAGTGACTCTAAACTGCTAGTGTCAAAAACAATCATTCTGGGAAGAAGATAATAGCATCCTAGGCCTCAAATGCATCTAGCAAACAAGCAAAAATAATCAAGCCCCAGAGAGGCGAGATTGCCACAAGAAAAGCAGAAACAGGCCAGGTGCAGTGGCTCATGCTTGCCATACCAGCACTTTGGGAGGCTGAGGCTGGGGAATTACTTGAGCTCAAGAGTTCAAGACCAGCCTGCACAACATGGTGAAACTCCGTTTCTACAAAAAATGCAAAAGTCAGTTGGGTGTGGTGGTGCACACCTGTAGTCCCAGCTACTAGGGTGGCTGAAGTGGATGGACGGCTTGCGCTTGGGAAGCAGAGGTTGCAAAGAGCTGAGATCATGCCACTGTACTCCAGCCTGGGCCGTAGAGCCAGACCTTGTCTCAAAAAGAAAAGAAAAGAAAAAAAAACAAAAATAAAAACAGACAACAGAATCAGACCCATGGGGCTTCCAGACTCTGGGGTTATTGGGCATAGACTATATAACAATGTATATGCTATCTTCAAAAGGATAAAAGCTATGTGTGAAACATTTGGCAGAGAGCTAGAAATTATAGCAAGTGACGTAGCAGATTTTTTTTGGGGAAAAGGAAATCTAGATTGAGACAGTGATGGGCACTAGAATTATAAAGTCATGGAAACTCAAGTATGGTGGCTGTGTTGGTCAATCTGTGAGCTTAGAAAGAATTAAACGTGAGCGGCTATGTGACCACAGAGAGAAATGGAGAGAATAGCTTCCTATTTTTCAGTTGAGTTTTTTGCTACTACAAAATTATATAACCAAAAATAGATGATTTTAACTATGTAACTTAAAGGGTTATACATACACTTGGCTCAAAAAATAATATATTAAAAGGTATAGATTAAGTAGGACTGTGACCACCTTGCCCTTCTTCATTCATTCCACCTACCACTACCCCCGTCCCTGGCCCACCGGTACACACTTTTATTAGTTTTCTGCGTATCCTTTCAATGTTTCTTTATGTAAATAGAAGTTAAATACAACTATATATATTGGTATTTCTCCCCTTTATTAAGCAAAGTTTTGCATACTAAACACTGTTCTGTCACTTAACAATGTTGCCTAAAGATTGTTGTCATTGGAATATAGAGAGCCTGTATAAAATGGCTGTTCAGTATGGCAACTGAAAAATTAGCTGTTTTGTGCCAGGTACCATGGTAAGTGCTGAGGATGTCAAGATGAAAAACTATGGCCATGGGTAAGAGCTTTTACCATTTTTTAAATTTGGAAAATTAAATTTAAAATTTTTTCCATTTTCCATTTTTCCCTTTTCCATTTTTTAAATTTGGAAAATTTTTCTAGAATTTGGCTTTGGGAGGGATTAGACTGCTACCCCTGGGTACCGCATCCCACTGCTTCCCGTCCTTCTGTAATGTGGACTCACTGGCATGGTTGGCCTGCGTTAGCTGGCTTTGTGCATTGGAGCAGCTGGATGCCAGCCCAGAAGTTTCTGACAGCCTGGGCCCAGCAGTTCTGTGCCCACTCTGGGCCAGAGCACACAGCTGTCTTGCAGGAGAGAAGGGAGTATCAGCCTTTTACTCCACAGACTCAGCAGAGGCTTGATTTCAGATGTGAGCTGACCTTGAGACAGGCCCAGTCTGACTCAGGGATCAACTTTAAGGTTCTGTCAGGTCTCTGTGGAGCTAATAAATGGAGTAGGGGACCATGGGGGCAAAGGGTAGGTCAGACAAACGGAAGGAGAGGCATCCTCATTTGGAACAAAAGCTGTCTGTTTTTAAAGCCCCCGTAAATGGTTCAATATTTTAAAAGTTTTTTATTTTTTAAAAAGCAATGTTTAAAAACACTCGGGTTAAAAACATTGACTAGGATATTTTACATAAATTAAATAGTGGAAGATTTGAATAAATGTTCTGTATAACTAAAATAGAGTTTCTTTTCTGAAGAGAACTTTGGACTTTCACCTATACCTGACACCTGGGCCATTGTTCTCTGATTAAAGGTGCAATTTTTATCTATAGGAAAGTCATAATTCAAGATCAAAAAAGGAGCCCTTTTACGATGTTTTAACAATACCCCACCCTTGTTCCCCCGCCCTCCACCACCCATCTACTCCCCAGGAATATCTTTTTTTTTCTTTTTTTTTTTTTTTGGTGAGGAGTCTCACTCTGTCACCAGGCTGGAGTGCAGTGGTGCAATCTCGGCTCACTGCAACCTCTGCCTCCCAGGTTCAAGTGATTCTCCTGCCTCAGCTTCCCGAGTAACTGGGACTACAGGCATGCGCCACCACATCCAGCTAATTTTTGTATTTTAGTAGAGACAAGGTTTCACCATGTTGGCCAGGCTGGTCTTGAACCCCCTGACCTCAGGTGATCCACCCGCCTTGGCCTCCCAAAGTGCTGGGATTACAGGCATAAGCCACCACACCTGGCCCCCAGGAATATCCTATATTAAATACAGGAGTTGATAGGCAGGCTTATCTCTCATTCCCACCCACATCCATCCCTCCTCCCCACCCTCTGATTAGCTGGAAAAATTTGGAAAGATGGAAAAGAGATTATTCCAGCACAGGGGAAGGAAGATCACTTGTCACATTGTCAGGAAAAACATACGATGCTCAGTTAAACTTGAATTTCAGATGTACAACAAGTAGTTTTTTAGTATGTCTCAAATATTGCATTATTCATTGTTTATCTGACGTTCATATTTAACTGGGTGTCCTGTACTTTTATTTGCTAAATCTGACAACCCTGTTTGGCAAATCTGGGTCACAGGGTATCAGGCCAACTGGAAAAGACAGTTAAGGAATGAAAGATAAGTTTAGATGAAAGGGAAGAGGCCAATGGAGGACGAGTTGGACTTTATTCTGTAGAAAATGGGGAACAACTGAAGGTGTCAGTTTTTTTTTTTAAGTAACATTTATTGTGGGATTTTTTTAATTGTAAAAGCAAATATGTTAATTGTGCTGCATTTGGAAAGCACAGAAAAGTATAAAAGAATATAATTACCCATAATTTCACCAACCAGCAGTAACAACTATTGGCACCTTACTGTTAACTGCCTGCAAGTTGATGCCAGTTTTCACCTTCTCAAGCCTATTTTGACAGCTCTATTGAAAACTGGAACCATATCGACTGCTCTTCATACTCCCTTTCTGCTTTATTTTTTCCTCCATAATATTTATTTCCTCCTTAGAACCTTAATGTGAAAAAAAAAATTTCCTCCTAATGTATGATTCATTTGGTTAGCTGATTTACTGCCTGGCTCTCAGTGGGTGGGGCTTCTGTATACTTTATTCACTGTAATAAAAGTGCCTAGAATTATGCCTGTCACATAGTAATAAGTATCCATTGTAATGAACAAATAAGTTATCCTTCTGGTTTCTTTTCTCTGACTATATATGCTTTTGATTACTTCCTTATGTAACCATAACAGATTTGTTGCCCAACAGGCACAGAAAGTCAGTAAGCTGAAACCTGGTTGCAGCAGAGAAAGAGGTTTAATCGTAGGGCTGCCAAATGAGGACATGGAAGGGAACTTCAAATCCATCTCCCCAAATAATTTGGAGCTAGAGATTTTAAAGATTTTGGAGTTGGCCAAAGTGACTGGCTGAAGAGTGCAGGGTGAAGTCATGGGACAAGGAGATGAAGAAGCTGTATTATCAAGTTGAGAAAACAGTTCCTTTGTGGAGGTCTTAAACTAGTTGTCATCAGCTGTTCTACTAAAATTCAGGATCTGCTTAAGCAATTCTTTAAAAAAATTTTTTTAATTAATAATTTTTTTTGTAGAGATGGGATCTTGCTTTGTTGCCCAGGCTGGTCTCGAACTCCTGGCTTCAAGCAATCCTCCTGCCTTGGCTGATTCTTATGTCAGAAATCCTACCTAGAGCAACAATGGGGATATGACTGGTCAGTGTCTAGTGTTACATGACTTTTGGTTTCAAGGAAGTGAGTCAAAGTGCAGTCTGATTAAGGCTTAATTATAATTATATTTCTGTCCAGAATTATTGTTAACCCTGTGAGGATGGCTTCACTTAGGGAAAACTTTTAGACATGAAACTACTGGGCCAAACGGTCTTAGGTGCATTTTAAAATAATTTTGGTGTATATTGCCCACACACAGTCCAGAGGGGCTAAACTGGCTCACATTGCAGCTGCAGGATTGTGGAGTGCCTGCACTGAAGTTTGCAATAGAGAGAAGAGGAGATGAGCACTGCTCCATCCAGTAGGAGGTGTAAGGGTTGGGAGATCCCTTGCGAAGAGCTGGAAACTCAGAACTGGGGTTGTGGGGATGGAAGGTGGGCTCTGCGGTGATATGGGAGTTCATCTGTGTATTCTTTTGCCAGGACCTCCGTAACAAAGTACCACAGGCTGGGTGGCTCTAGCAACAGCAATTTATTTTCTCAAAGTTCTGGAGGCTGAAAGTCCAAGATCAAGGTTGTTGCCTGTGAGGCCGCTCTCCTTGGCTTACAGATGGCCGTCTACTCAGTGAGTCCTCACAAGGTCTTTCCTCATGTGGAGCATCCCTGGTGCCCTTCTGTGTGTCCAAATCTCGTCTTCTTATGAAGACACCAGTCAGATTAGACAAAGGTCCGCTCTGATGGGCTTATTTTACCTCTGAGGACTAAACTCTGACCTTTTTCCTTCTCTTGCCCAAATTTCTACCTAAGGGGCCTGGGGAGTCATGCCCTACAAACCGTAAAGTCTCATCAGAGGGGTTTTATTTAACCCTAATGTGGCCTACTTTCCAAACTGGCTCTGGCATAACATTACATAACAAATAAGGAAAGAAATCAAAATATTTTAACCCCAAATGTATTTCCTTGCCATATCTTGAAATTGCCCTGCAAAGTTGTCTCTTGTGGGGGAAAAATCTACATTCTATAGAGAATCCCCTTTTCCCTTTTTTTCAGGTCCAGGAGATAATCAAGAGTCTGGCACCCTTTTTGAGTCTAATAAAAAACATTTATAATCTATTCTCTCTGAAGCCTGCTACCTGAAGGCTTCCTCTGCACATTAAGAACTTTGTGCCGGGTGCGGTGGCTCACGCCTGTAATCCCAGCACTTTGGGAGGCCGAGGCAGACAGATCACCTGAGGTCGGGAGTTCGAGACCAGCCTGACCAACATGGAGAAATCCCATCTCTACTAAAAATACAAAAAATTAGCCAGGCGAGGTGGTGCATGCCTTAATGCCAGCTACTTGGGAGGCTGAGGCAGGAGAATGGCTGGAACCTGGGAGGCGGAGGTTGCAGTGAGTCGAGATCATGCCATTGCACTGCAGTCTGGGTGACAGAGTGAGACCTTGTCTCAAAAAAAAAAAAAAAAAAAAAGGAACTTTTCTCTTTTCTCTCCACAGTTCTTTATCTCAACCCAGACATTTCCTTTCCATTGATCCCAGGTCTTCAGATAAACTCAACCAACTGTCAACCAGAAAATGTTTAAATCTACTTATAACCTGGAAGCTCCCTACTTTGAGTCATCCTGCCTTTCTGAACCTAACCCATGTACATCTTAAATGTACTTGATTGAAGTATCATGTCTCCCAAAAATGTATGTATGAAACCAGGCTGTGCCCTAACCACCTCAGGCACATGTTCTCAGGATCTCCTGAGGGCTGTGTCATGGGCCATGGCCACCCATATTTGGCTCAAAATACATCTCTTTGAATATTTTATAGAGTTTGACTCTTTGTCGACAATTTAATCAACTTTCAAAGGCCCTATTTCCAAATATAGTCACATTTTGAGGTTCTTGGAGTTAGGGCTTCATCATACAAGTTTGGAGCAGTGGGTGAGAGGGACACAATTCAGCCCGCGGAAATCTGCATAGAAGTGTTGAGACCATGGGAGAGACAGACATCCACCACAAACCTCCCCGCATCTGGAAGGCAGCACTCTGTACTCCTGAGTCTCTCAGGGCCAACCAGATCCTCCTCATGCCTCCTGAAATGAGATTTCAAAACTGCTTGCCATCCAAGTGACCTCCTCTCAAGGCAGTCCAGTTTGCGGTTACCTTTATTAAAATGCGCTTCCCAGAGTGAGTTACCAAGAGCTCTGTGTTAGGCTCTGGACACGGTACTTCTGTGGTACAAGAATATTACATAGTCTGATGTGTTCTGATGGGGGCATTTAGATCCTCAAACCCAAGCATATTTTTATTTCTTCTTGCCACTTTTCTCTCAACCACTTTTCTCTGATGTCATTTATTGTAGAAGCAGCATAACCATAGCAAATAACTGGGTAGCGCGGCCTAGCCAAGTTGACATATAAAATTAACCATTCCACCGGCCAATCCAATAATTTAAATAATCTGGATAACTGAGTCAAGTGAAGGCCAGGCCTTTTCAGCTTCTTCCCCCTGCCCTTGCTCCTAAGTTGGAGTCGCGGTGTTAGGAGACTGCAGTTTCTCCTGGCAGAGGGAGAGGAGTGAGACCACCATGAGGTTCTCCCATCTGCACAGGCACAGCAGCCCTTAAACTATCTCTGGATTTATGCTTCTATGTTTTAATGGGTTTCTCTAAGGAAGAAAGGGAGCTTTACATTTTGTTGGGGTTTTTAATCTCATGACTGATCCTTTGGTTGAGCAATTCAGCCCAATGTTATATTGACTGCTATATATAAACTGAACTTTGTTGCTCCATTTATTTTGATGGCCCTCCTATTTTTTTTTCTTTCTGTTTGCATGTATATATCTCTATAGAAAACTTTAAACTCATTTTTAATGGGATGATATACATGCAAACAGAAAGCAAACATTTTAATCATTCTGGTATTTTAAACAGAACTTTTTTATGGCTAAGTGCTGTGACTCATGCCTGTAATCCCAGCACTTTGGGAGGCCAAGGCGGGCTGATCACTGGAGGTCAGGAGTTCAACACCAGCCTGATCAACATGGTGAAACCCTGTCTCTACTAAAAATACAAGAATCAGCCAGGCATGGTGGCACAGCCCTGTAATCCCAGCTACTTGGGAGGCTGAGGCAGGAGAATCGCTTGAACCTGGGAGGCGGAGGTTGCAGTGAGCTGAGATTGCACCATTGCACCCCAGCCTGGGCAACCAAAGCAAAACTCTGTCTCGAAAAGAAAAGAAAAGAAAAAGAAAAAGAAAAAGAAAGAAAGAAAGAAAGAAAGAAAGGAAGGAAGAAAGAAAGGAAGGAAGGAAGGAAGGAAGGAAGGAGGAAAGAAAGAGAGAAAGAAAGAAAGAAAGAAAAAAAGAAAGAAAGGAAGAAAACCCTGTTTTTACTACCTCCTGTTTCTAATTTCTATTTTTAACTAAATAAAATCTAGCTCTCTTGTTGGGAGACTGGTTATAGGGTATCTCTGTGTAAGCTGTCCCTTGACTTCATTTCGACCCCACCGTCCCTGACTTATCTTGAAGCCTAAAAACCCTTTTGAAATCCTGTGTGCATTTTACTTTTCTTATAATATTCTTTGTAGTCACCGTTCAAATGCATTTTAAGTCATTTGCCTTGAGGCTTTTGAAAAAGATAGTGCCCATTCACACTGAAACCAGCCACATATGAAGAGTCCCATTTTTCCACATCCTCATCAGCTCTGGACATTTTTGAAAAATTTTGCCAATCTGATGAGTACAAAGTTTATCTCATTTTTGTATTTGTATCGCATTATTTGTATTTTCCTGAGTAGTAGGAAAGGAGTTGAACTTTTTCTTAATTTTAGAATTTATTTTAGAATTCCTCTGAATTTCTATTTTTATTTCTATCCATTGTTCATTTTCAACATTTTTCCTATTTTAACTAAAATATTTTACTTTGGAAAAACTTAATATAGAAAATAATAGAAAATCATATAACAAGCACCTTATAACCACAACCTAGAATTAACAAATACAAACATTTTGCTATGTTTGCCTCAGATTTTTAAAAATTAAATATTACAGATTTAATTTTTTAAATTTTAATCTCAAAAAAATTTGAGAATCCCTCTGTCCATTTAGTTCTCTTCTTAGTTCCATTCCTCTCTCGCTCTTTCTCTCTCTCCTCCCGGAAGCAAACACTGCCATAAATTTAGTATGTATCCTTTCAGGCCTTGTGTTTAAACTTCTATCACATATATGGAAACTGCAAACTATATGAAGTGTTGTGTGTTTCTAAGTGTATATAAATCACCACATACTCATTACTGTTTTGAGACCTAGCCATATGACTACATACAGATCACTGGTTTTCCATCAGAGGTTTTGTCCCCCAGGGACATTTGGTCATGCTTGGAGACATTTTTGTTTGTCACAACTGGGGGATAGGAGTGCTACTGGAATCTAGTGGTAGAGGCCAGGGATGCTGGTAAACATCCTACAGTGCACAGGGCCACCACACACCAAAGAATTATCCAGCCTAAAATGTCAACAGTGCTATCATTGAAAAACCCTGACATAGGATTTATTTATTTATTTATTTATTTTTTTGAGACGGAGCCTCACCCTGTCGCCCAGGCTGGAGGGCAGTGGCGCGATCTCGGCTCACTGGAAGCTCCGCCTCCCAGGTTCCCGCCATTCTCCTGCCTCAGCCTCCCGAGTAGCTGGGACTACAGGCGCCGGCCACCATGCCTGGCTAATTTTTTGTATTTTTAGTGGAGACAGGGTTTCACCGGGTTAGCCAGGATGGTCTTGATCTCCTGACCTCGTGATCCGCCCGCCTCAGCCTCCCAAAGTGCTGGGATTACAGGCGGGAGCCACCGCACCCAGCCAATATTAATACTGTTACATGCATCTCTGAGTGCACATGTGCAAGGTTTTCTCTAGAGAGGCAGAATCATACAGGGTGTAAGAAGGCTCTAGAGGCTACCTGGGTTCAAGTCCCCATTCCACTATTTACTTACTGAATGACCTTTGGGGCAAATTGCTTAATCTCTCTTGATCTCCGTTGACTTGTCCTCAAAATGGGAATAATAATACTTCTCTATATAAATGAGTTAATACGCAAAATGCTTGGGACTGTGCCTGGCACATGGTAAGCATTCAAGAAATGTTAGCTTTTATTTACTGGTAGCAGTATTTTCATCATCATCATTATCATTACAGAACCTTGAAATGAAAGTACACCGTTTAAATTCTACTAAATATTTTTAAATTATTGTAATTTATACTCTCACCAGTAGGGTATAGGAGTACCTATTTCTCCATGTCCTTGGCTATATTTGATATTCCAGACTTAAACTTAAGATATAAACTGATATCTTCTTTTATTTTAATTGGCATTTTCTTTTTTCTTTTTCTTTCTTTCTTTCTTTTTTTTTTTTTTTTAAGGAAACGTCTTGCTCTGTTACCCAAGCTGGAGTGCAGTAGGGCGGCTAAAGTGCAGTGGCATGATCACGGCTCACTGCAGCCTCGATCTCGCAGGTTCATGCAATCCTCCTGCATCAGCCTTCCAAGAAGCTGGGACTATAGGTGTGTGCCACCATGCCCAGCTAACTTTTGTATTTTTTGTAGAGACAGGGTTTCACCATGTTGTCCAGGCTGCTCTTGAACTCCTATGCTCAAGAAATCTGCCTGCCTTGGCCTCACAAAGTGCTGGAATTACAGGCATGAGCCAATGAGTTGAGCGTGCATTTTCAAGATTACTGTTTTCAAGTATTTATTGGTTAATTGGTTTTATTGCTCTGCAAATGTCCATTTCATTCTCTGTCCATTTTTTGATTTACTATTTAATGTTGTAAAACATAATGTAAAAAGTACTAAAAAAGAAAAAAACTTAATGTATTTATACAATTAAAAATTCACAAAATGTAATATGTCATACAAAGAAAAGCCTCTCTTCCACCCCTGTTCCCTGGCTAGTCAGTCCCTCTCCTTAGAGACAACCATTGTTAGTTATTAAATTCTTATCCTTCCAGAAAGAACTTATTTGGATATTCAAGAAAATAAGTATTTTTTTTCTACCCAAATGGTAGCATAGTACATGCATTTTTCTGCATTATTTGTTTTTTCCTTTCTTCACATAACAACATATCTTGGCCATATTTTCCATATGTAAATAAGGAACTCCCTGATTCTTTTTTATTTCTATTCTGTTATAAAGCTGGGCTATAATTTATTTAAACATTTCCATACTGATGTACATTTAGATTGTTTTCTAATATTTTGCTAATGCAAACATTACCACAAAGTCCAAAATAAATTTATATGTGTGAGTATATCTGTAGACTAAATTCCCAGAGGTGGAATTTCTGGGATAAAGGGAATGAGCATTTGTAGTTTTGAAACATATCACATTATTTTCCTCCATAGACATTCTACCAATTCACATAGGCCCGGAAATGTGAATCCTGAGGCAGGGGAAGCTTCTGTAGCTGGAATCGTGATGCAGGGAGGCTTATGTAACATTGTGGGGCTGTCTAGTCTGACAACTGAGCTGCCTCTAGCCTTCACTGGCCTCTGATAAGGTGTCTCATCCCATTAGTCTTGGCAGGTCCCCTCCAGATCTGTGCACTCGCTGCTGCATGGCTCTGTGTCTGCTTTCTTGTGTGTGACAGCTGTCTCATGTGCATGAGGCTCTGCATCATTTCCTGTTCTATGGCTAATTTTTATAAACTCTATGCCTCAGAATTGGCTTGGAAGTCCTTTGGAACTAACACAATACCAACTATCTCAAGACCCTAGCCCTTGCAAATTGGAGGCATTTGGTTTCAGACTACTGAGCCTACTAAGAGTTTAAGATATCCATTCAAGGGCTGGGCACAGTGGCTCACGCCTGTAATCCCAGCACTTTGGGAGGCTGAGGCAGGTGGGTCATCTGAGGTCAGGAGTTCAAGACCAGCCTGGCCAACGTGGTGAAACCCCGTCTCTATTAAAAATACAAAAAATTAGCTGGATGTGGTGGCAGGTGCCTGTAATCCCAGCTACTTGGGAGGCTGAGGCAGGAGAATCACTTGAACCGGGGATTCAGAGGTTGTAGTGAACCGAGATCACGCCATTGCACTCCAGTCTGGGCAATAATAGTGAAACTCTGTCTCAAAAAAAAAAAAAAAGAAAGAAGAAAGAAAAAAAATATATGTATATATATATCTCCATTCAGTCCAGTGGATGGATGACCCAGGATAACAATAATAATTCTGAGAGAGTAAAGCACCTTTGAAACACTGTAGATTCTCATTTTTTATGTCTAAATTTCCTTCCTCATGAAGCCATCAGTACCTGTTTGGTGACAGTTCTTTGAAACTCTCCAGTGGTGTTCATATGAGTATTTTCATTCTCTCTGCTGGGTTGCCCAGCTTCATTGAAATACCAATGTTCTTTTAAAATATTTGTTTATCATTTTTAAAGATTACTATTTGTTTTCATTAATGCTGAAACAAGAAAGAATAAAGAAGACTTAATGTGGAATAGGAAACCTGGAATTAAGTCTGAGATCTGTCATTTATTAGCTGGATGAGCTGGAACAATTAGTAGTGTCTCTAAACCAGGGGTTATCAATGTGTGAGCCTCCATCAGGAGCATCGACTTCTCCAGAGAATTTGCTTAAGATGTCAATCATCAGGCTCCACCAAGGACCTGTTGAAAGAGAAAGTCTCTACTGGAGTTCAGCAAATCTGAATTTTAACAAGTTTTCCAAGTGATTCTGAAGAATACTGAGTTCCTTTTTTGAGAAAGGATAAAGATAATTTCTTACAGGTGAGACTTAAATGAGGTAATATAAGCAAAATAAATCTATAAATCAGAGTCATAATGTCAAATGCCTTCAAGGGCCAAGGAGACGTGAGGTAGCAGAGCGGTGGGGAACATAGCCACCCTCTCTAAAGGCATCTACATTATCATTATTTTCTAAATCATCATGCCAGTCAAACAAAACCTGTCAAAAGTTAAATTCTGCTTCTAGGGGCCAGCAGTTTAGGAGTGTAAGTAAAACAATTTACAGATGTTAGACTGTTTTAATTTAACCCTAAAACAAACAAAAAGAAAGGTCTGGAGGTATAACATTTCTGAAAGTCTTTGGTTTACAGCAGTTGCTATAAGGGGAGCCACATAATTTATAGTCCAAACTGGACATTTCTGAAAGTGAAAGGAGGTGCTATTAATAATTACACCAGGACAAAGTGAAACCCAGGATGGTTCCAGGCAAAGCAGAGTGTATGATCACTCTGGCTATTATTATAATAATCATCCACAAGCCCTGTTTGACCTAAGATTAAGATCAGACAAAAATTAATGGTGTACTTCTTGCTGGGGACAGACGGCTGATAATGGAGAGTGAGGAGGTGAGGGTGGAAGCTATACCAAGAGAAGGGGTAGGGAGGAAGCACCCTTTTCCTTAAGACAAGAGGCAAGGAGGGAAGGTTAGGACATGAATGTACAGAAGGGAATGTATGTAACACTGGTTGATATATTCCTAGTCATAACAAAAGCCATAGAAGGCAAGTCAGGGATCAGAGAAGCACCAAGAAGGAAGAAGAAGAACATATAGACAGAATTGGCAAAGCAAAGAATGGGCACGGAGACACCAGCATACTGGAGACATACAGAGAAAAAATCAACAGAGGACAGACTACTACAGGTGTTGTGGGGAGACAGAAGATCACCAGGGGCAAGAGCAAAGTGCAAAAACAAAGAACAACTCTTTAGAAAGGAAGTTCCTTGCCTATCCTACTGAGCTAGGGAGTGGTTGGTTGACCCTGTGACTGGAAATTCCCCAAGGTAGGTGATGATAACCTCCACATTTTCACAAAATTCTGTGAGGAGCCAAAGCACCTGAGGTAGAGAATTGCCCTTCCCCTACTTTCCAGATGCTCTACCGAGGCTTGAACTTTGCATACAAGATGCCCAAAGCATTGCAGTGAACTGGCTGTGACCTTTCAGTAGGCATCACCACCCACCCCTCCACTCCCTACTCAGAGCTGATTGGGAAATGCCCCATAAGTGGTGTTTGGTGCCCCGGTCATTCTGATCTTAGTCAACCACCATACAAACATACCTTTAGTCCAAAGTTCAGGACAACTTATTTCACTTTATAAGCAGCCTATTACACATTCAAAGTATCCATTTGTTCTCAAGAGGTAGCAAGGTAGGACTGCCCATCTGTTTTCCTCTCTTTATAATATTTTCTAGATCCTAAATTTTACGCTTTTCTATCATTTCTTTATTTTTTTCTCCCTCTTCTTTTCCTCTCTCTCTGCTCTTCTAACTAATTGGCAGAATCTCTGACCTCCACTTTCTCTGACTCCCTTCTCCCTTCCTAGAAACAGTATCCACAGTGGACTCCGGGGCTCCTACAGACTTGGCACAGCTTCCTACAGTCTTGAAACAGCCCTGTTGTTCTGTCATGGCCAGTGGGCAGTTTGTGAACAAACTGCAAGAGGAAGTGATCTGCCCCATCTGCCTGGACATTCTGCAGAAACCTGTCACCATCGACTGTGGGCACAATTTCTGCCTCAAATGCATCACTCAGATTGGGGAAACATCATGTGGATTTTTCAAATGTCCCCTCTGCAAAACTTCCGTAAGGAAGAACGCAATCAGGTTCAACTCGCTGTTGCGGAATCTGGTGGAGAAAATCCAAGCTCTACAAGCCTCTGAGGTGCAGTCCAAAAGGAAAGAGGCTACATGCCCGAGGCACCAGGAGATGTTCCACTATTTCTGCGAGGATGATGGGAAGTTCCTCTGTTTTGTGTGTCGTGAATCCAAGGACCACAAATCCCATAATGTCAGCTTGATCGAAGAAGCTGCCCAGAATTATCAGGTAGGCATTTGAGGTTTCTTCCCTGTTCCCCCATCAGCCCAGGAGTTCAGTGAGGCCCTGGAAACTGCTACCTTCCCACTGAGGGTTTGCACCCCATTGCCCCCACCCCTTGGGCTTGAGTGGGCAGCTCGCAGTCAGGCACAGTGGGTTCAAAGAGCTGAGTCTGGGGAACTGCTGACTCTCTAAATCAAGGTGCAATGGAGAATGGAAAGGATGTGAAAATTTGACTCAGAAGGTTTGGGCTCAAGCCCAGTCTTGTGAGTTTACTGTACAACCTGCAAGGAATCACTTTACCTCTCTGAGCCTCAGGTACCTCACCTTTCAAATGGCAAAAACAAAACAACTCTCTTAAAGTTGTTGGTAGGACAGATGAAGGGAAGTTTGTAGTTCTTTGATAATTCCAAAGCACCATCCATAGTCCTAGTTAGTCATAAATAACTATGTTCTGGTCATTTAGGTCACTTAGGCTCCAGATTTCTCCCTTCTCAGCAACCCCTTTCCCCGCCAGCTTGAGAAAGGCGAGTCCTTAATAATTACACAAGGACTCACCTGGAGAGTGTCACCAGCTCTCCTAAGAGACCAGGAGGATTTTATGAGGCCAGAAATCTCCAGGCACAGCCTGTCCAAACGGCCCTCTTTCCGCAGGGGCAGATTCAAGAGCAGATCCAAGTCTTGCAGCAAAAGGAGAAGGAGACAGTACAAGTGAAGGCACAAGGTGTACACAGGGTCGATGTCTTCACGGTAAGAAAAACTCCATCCCACGATCTCTGGAAGCAGAAACATCTCTGCCAAAGCTCCTGGAATCCCCTATTACACTGACCCCTCAGAAAAAGATCCAGTGAGCCATGTCCTCTCCTCGGCGCCTCAGCACCTGACCGGCCAGGCGGCATCACCTCCCGCGTCGGCCTCGCTATTACAGCGGGCTGACTGCTCAGTCTCCACCGGCAGACAAGGTGGGGCACGGAAAACCCGCGCTGGTCTTAGAATCGCAAGTACAGGTTTTTAAGGCCGAGCTGCGCCCTCAACGGATTCCCCAATTAGAAAATGAAGACATTGGCCGGGCGCGGTGGCTCACGCCAGTAATCACAGCACTCTGGGAGGCTGAGGATCGCTTGAGCCCAGGAGTTTGAGACCAGCCTGGGCAACATAGAGAGACTCTCCTCTTAATTAAAAAAAAAAAGAAAGAAAACTAGCCGGGCGTGGTAGCACACGCCTGTAGTCCCAGCTACTAGAGAGGCTGGGAGGTGAAAGTATTGTTTGAGCCTGGGAGGATGAGGCTGCAGTGAGCCGTGATCGTGCACTGCACTCCAGCCTGAGTGACAGAGTGAGAGACTGTCTCAAAAAAAAAAAAAAAAAAGACAGAAGGAAAATGAAGACATTGTGACCCCACTTACCTATTTTCCTGTGTGCGTGAAAGGAATAAAATCTATATGAAAGATTATAAACTGAAAAGCCTTCTGGAATTGTATTAGACAGTTCCTTGAAGGCAAGTGGTAAACCATAAATTAATAATTTCGCTTAAAGCTGAGCACGTAGTAGGTGCTTTTAGAAGTTTGTTCTCCTCTCCTTTCCTTTCTTCCAGGTCTGCCCTGGCACATTGCTCTGGTTGGGAATTCCACACAAACTTAATAAAATTAATGGCTGAATAAAGTGGGCTAGAAGGACCTTCGAGGCCATCCTCTCACCCTCTGCCTGTCCCTGTTTCTTAGGACCAGGTAGAACATGAGAAGCAAAGGATCCTCACAGAATTTGAACTCCTGCATCAAGTCCTAGAGGAGGAGAAGAATTTCCTGCTATCACGGATTTACTGGCTGGGTCATGAGGGAACGGAAGCGGGGAAACACTATGTTGCCTCCACTGAGCCACAGTTGAACGATCTCAAGAAGCTCGTTGATTCCCTGAAGACCAAGCAGAACATGCCACCCAGGCAGCTGCTGGAGGTGAGTCCCTTGGGGGCAGAATTGCAGAGAGGTAGCAGCCCATCCCTAGTCTCAGGTCAGAGCATGGACCACTGGCAGAATACCTGAGATTGCCCCAACCATCCTACCTCTAGCCCAGTGCTGTCCAATAGCAATATGTGAGCCGCATGTATTAGAATGAAAATGTGAGCCACATATGTAATTCATAAATATAATTCTGGCCACATGTGTGATTTAGAAATGTAGTTTCAGCCACATATGGAATTACAAATTTTTCTGGTTAGTCACATTAAAATGATAAAAGTGAAATTAATTTTAATAAAATATTTTAACTCAATATATCTGAAATATTATCCTTTCAGCCTGTAATGAATATTTTAAAAGTATTAATGAGATATTTCACATTCTGGGTTTTTGGTGGTTTTTTTTTTTTTTTTTTTTTTACACTGAGTCTTTGAAATTGTGTGTATATTTTTCACTTTGGCACATCTCAATTCAGATGCTAAATTGTCAATTGTTAAAGTAAAATATAGTCTTACCAAATCAATAAAGTTGTGTTTAATGGAAAAAGTACTTTACCCTTCTTCTATTTATTTTATTTTATTTTTTGAGATGGAATCTTGCTCTGTTGCCCAGGCTGGAGTACAGTGGCGCGATTTTGGCACACTACAACTTCCGCCTCCTAGGCCCAAGTCCCAAGTAGCTGGGATTACAGGTCCCCACCACCACGCCCAGCTAATTTTTGTATTCTTAGCAGACACGGGGTTTTACCATGTTGGCCAGGATGGTCTCGAACTCCTGACCTCAAGTGATCTGCCCACCTCAGCCTCCCAAAGTGCTGGGATTACAGGCGTGAACCACCGTGCCTGGCCTCTATTTTTAATTTAAATTTGAATTAGTAAAAATGAAATTAAAAATTCAGTTCTTTGTCACACTAGCCACAATTTCCAATGTTCAGTAGCCACATGTGGTTGGTGGCTACCATATTGGACAGTGCAAGTCTAGCTGGTGCTTAAAACAAGCTGAGATGATTCCTCCTCAAGTCATCTATTCTCCCACAGGTTCAAAAACCTATTTATTTATTTTAAGAAAGATCATGCAAAGCCATTCTAGCCTTTCTCCTGCCCTGGCTAGCAGGCTCCCTTGTTCAGTCTCAGAGCCAAATTCATCTTCTAAATCTCACTCTTCTCTTCTTCACTCAGTTCTTCTTGAGGTCAAAACACTTTTCTGCTTACTGGCAGAGCAGTGCTTCTTGGAGAAGCCCTTCGTGGTGGGGAGAGGGGAGGAGGATGGGGTAAGAGAGACTTGGAGGGGTTCTTACTCCTCCTGCTCTGCCCCACACCCAGCAGGCTCTGTATCTCCTCCTTGGCTCCTGGGAATCAGCCAAGTGCTGAGGCTGTGCTGTTTCTCTTTCTCTTCTAGGATATCAAAGTCGTCTTGTGCAGGTATGATGGGCCACCCCAAATGTATTTTGCCTACTGATTCATCCACACACAATTCTCAGCGTATATCCAAATGCAGTCAACATTCCTCTCTCAGAAATACCCACCCACCTCTAACTCTGCATTCATACATTTAGGCTGCAGCCGGGGAATGCCTATGCCAACCATATTAGCAAGTGGTTGGTTGTTAAAGAAACCAGCTGTTTTCTCAGCCTTCCTCCTTCTTCAGCACAGATTCTACTATTTCCTGAATGCCCCCTTGCTCAACTGAATAGCTCCTGGGTCCCCTACTCTGTCTCCCTGACCCTGTTTTTTTCCCTCCTCTCTGTCTCCATCTCCCATCTTCATTTCCATATCTCCCTATGCCCTACCTCACTCCTGCCCCATATCCCTAGCCCTGACTTTCTGACTCCCAGCTCACTATCCCTTAACCGCCAGGTCTTCTTTTTTTTTTTTTTTTTTTTTGAGATGGAGCTTTGCTCTTGTTGCTCAGGCTGGAGTGCAGTGGTGCAATCTCAGCTCACTGCAACCTTTGTCTCCCAGGTTCAAGTGATTCTCCTGCCTCAGCCTCCCAAGTAGCTGAGACTACAGGCGCTTGCCACCAAGCCTGGCTAATTTTCATATTTTTAGTAGAGACCGGGTTTTACCATGTTGGCCAGGCTAGTCTTGAACTCCTGACCTCAGGTGATCCACCCGCCTCAGCCTCCCAAAGTGCTGGGATTACAGGTGTGATCCACCGCTCTCAGTTCTACCCCCAGGTCTTCATCCCCTCATTTCTCAACCCCATATCTCAGATCCTCCTTCTCCCACACCTCATCCCCTGATCTCACCAACCAGCTCAACCACATCTTCCTAGAAGTGAAGAGTTTCAGTTTCTCAACCCAACCCCTGTTCCTCTAGAACTGGAGAAAAAACTCAGTGAAGCAAAATCAAGACACGACTCCATCACAGGGAGCCTGAAAAAATTCAAAGGTAAGGAAGAGGCTGTATTTTCTCTATTCACCTACTTCCAGGAGATTCTCTCCCTGCTCACTCCACTGAAATGGAACTGTGACTCATACATGCCAACAATCCCTGGGCCCTTCTAGTGCCAGGCTTCTGGCTGAGTACTTTCCACGCATCAGTATGCCTCCTCCCAGGCATTTCTTATATTCTGTCTTCGTGATATGTTATTTATCTGCCTCCCTGACTCCTGCGAGAGCCATAGAGGGCCTGGACCTATTCCCCATGTGGACACCTGGCCTAGAGCAGTGGCTGTTGGGAAGTTGGTGATGAGTTGTCTGGTGGACCAGAGATGGCCTCAGGCAGGGACTGTCATCTCTGACTTCTCCTTCTCTGGTGCACACTGGTGTCTCCTCCTGCCTACAGAAGAAGAGAAAATAAATTCAAAATCAGTGACATTCTGGGGAGAAACCTCTTCCAGCCTTACAGGGAAACAGAAATCAGCAGAACAGTAGTGGATGACTTGGGTTTTAGATGTTCGGCCAGATATTTTTCATAAACCTTTCTGTGTTTGCAACTAGGAAGAAGGGTTAGTATTTGTAAGGACTCCCCTTAATGTGAAGACTGTGTTGGTCTAAGGTGGGCATAAAGACAGCTAGATGGAATCTTCTGAAATTATCACCTGGAGTTCCACACCCACCTCCCCCACCCCAACCCCCAGCCCCCCATACACAAACACTTCCCCTTGGGACTACAGAAAAGGAGGACCAGGGCAATGCCCCAAGATCTCCACCCATTCAGCCGGGAATCTCCACTCGGCAGACATAAACAGGAAAGCATGTTTTGTTTTATTCTTAATTTTGTTGTCTGAGCTTTTCTTTTGTCCACTAACTGCTCTGCTTTGTCTAGCTCCTCCCACCCCACTGGGCATGATCTCAGCCGATCTAGCAACTTTATTTATTTGTTTATTTATTTATTTATTTTTGACAGAGTTTTGCTCTTATTGCCCAGGATAGAGTGCAGTGGCGCAATCTCGGCTCACTGCAACCTCCGCCTTCTGGTTTCAAGCAATTCTCCTGCCTCAGCTTCCCAAGTCGCTGGTGTTACAGGCGCACACCACCATGCCCAGCTAGTTTTTTGTATTTTTAGTAGAGACGGGGTTTCACCAGGTTGGTCAAGCTGGTCTCGAACTGCTGACTTGTGATCCACCCGCCTCAGCCTCCCAAAGTGCTGGGATTACAGGCGTGAGCCACCACGTCCAGCCCGATCCAGCACCTTTCTAGGCTCTTCAGGTCAAGAATAGTTTGGTTCTAGTTTGGAATTTCAATAAAGGAGCCCAGCCCTTTCCACTTCATCAGGTTTGGAGTTGGGGAGACTGGTGTGCTCTACTCTGTATCCCCCTTTTCTTTCCCTCTTTCACATACACAAACTCACACACACACAGTCCCCCAACTCCCACCTGGCCCTATTTCCTTCTTTTTTTTTTCTCTTATTTTTATTTTATTTTTACCCCAAAGAAGAAGGCACAATGGCCACCTGGCCCTATTAAAGCCTAGGAAATACAGGAGGTGGTAGGGAGTCTACTTATACCACAGGTCCAATCTCCACAGTTCTTATTATGAGGGTTGGTTCTCCCTGCTCGGGGTGACTGGGTCTGGAACATGTACGTGGAGAAGGGTGTGGCTGGGCCCTGAAGCCGCTAAAGGCCCTTGTAGGTGAAGTGCTCCCAGGCAGTGTTTCCTATGCTCTAGGTTTGCAGACCCCTCCTAAGAGGGCCCCCGCGTCTCCCCTGAGCAGTCCCCATGACTGGGCTGGTGGCTCTCAGGGAAGCTGCCCACGCTTGTCCCACTACCTAGCCCCAGGCTGTCTTGTGCTGTCTTGGGGCTGCAAGACACTGGGGGAAGGGTGCTGGGGCCAGAAGTAGCTCCCCATCTAGGGGCTCCACCCTATAGTTCTCCACTCAGTCCAGCACCCCTACAGGAAATCTAGGCCAGGAATGGGCCATTGTCCCCAGCTTCTGGGCTCATCCTCTACCTGCAAAAGGAGTCTCTTCTGGCAGGGGTGAACTGGGAGATGAAGGCACTTGGCCTCCCCTTGCAGGAGCTCTGTCTTCGTTCCCCCTCTCAAGCCCTCTTTCATGGGAAAGAGGGCAGGACTGCCATCCAGGCTTTAGGAGAGTGGGGCCCCCCCTTACCCCACCTGGCTCCTGGGTGGTTAGCCCTACAGTAGGCCTTCTGAAGCTAAAGGGTGAAGCCTCAAGGCACTCTTTGTCCTGAGCACCTACCTTTGTCAGGCAGTGAGAAAGGGGCTAGCTCTGCACTGTCCAATTTAGTAGCTGCTAGCCACATGTGCTGACAGGCACTTGAAATGTAGCTAGTCCAAATTTAAACATGCTATATGTGAAGAATCATTAATTTCACAAGATTGAGTGTAAAAAGAGACTGTAAAAGATAGCAATAATTTTTATAATACATGTTGAAATAACATTTTGAGAATATTGAGTTAAATAAAATATATAATTAAAGTTAATTTTACTAGTTTCTTTCTACTTTTTAAATGTGACTACTAGAAAATTTAAAAATATATAAGTGGCTCACATTCGTGACTCAGATTACATTCATCATTCATACTGGACAGTGCTGGGCTAGGCAGTCACCACAGGAAATCAGAAAGGGCATCTCTCAAGGGTTGCATACCTTCCTGGTCCAATAAGAATATGAGAGTCAAATGCAGCTTCTACTTCTCCCAGGCATTTCAAATTAGTGCCTTGCTGTGTGATAGTGAGTTCTTTGCTCAACCCCTCTGGACTCTCACCATTTCATCCCATTCTTTATTCCCCAGACCAACTCCAGGCTGATAGGAAAAAAGATGAAAACAGATTCTTCAAAAGCATGAATAAAAATGACATGAAGAGCTGTAAGTGAGAAATGATGGTTGGTTGCTTCTGCCATTTGGGGAAAGTGAGAAAAGGGGAAGAATTGTGTCTCTATGATTACATGAAGGCCAGATATAAGTGAATGCCGATTCCTCAGCCAATTGAGAGAACAGGCATATGGTTGTTTTATTATTTTAAACTCAGGTAACTCACAAAACAGTCACTAATCCCAAACTTTGAAGTATTCAGAAGTAATAGAAAATTACAAATGTATTTCTTCACTCCTAGAGACAGGGAGGAAAAAGTGGGACAAGAAGGAGGCAGCTCCACCTCTGTAGTATTTGCTGCCCCTACAGGGCAGCAGGTTTCGAGGCAAACTCCTCTGGGTGTGAGGTCAGTACAGCTCAGGGGATGGAGACCCACTGTAATAACAGCCTGTGCTAAAGTCATTAGATATGGTTCTGCCACCTAAGACAATAACAGTAGAAGTACCATTTCTTAAAGGACCACTATGTGCGCATCTAATATTTCAAAACCCCACAACTATCCTCCAAGATAGGTGTTATTATCTGCAACTTACAGTGAGGTCCATGTAGCTTCCGGGAGGGGAGGTAAGTTACCCAGGTCATATGATCATTAAGTGAAAGAGAGAGAATTAGAACTCCTTTCTCCAAAGCCAGAAACTACAGAATGCATTCCAAAGCCAGAGAGCAGGATTTAGGGATCCTATTCCACCAGCATTTCTCCACAAAAGGAGCTACCGGTGTTTAGAAAGGCCATCTTTGTTATGCTCCATGACTTTTGCCCTGTTAAATGCTTAGTATCCCAGGCCCCAGAAAGCCCTATAAGCCAGTAGAGAACCACACTCTTGTTGTCACTGAGACAACCTGAAAGGTTTCCACACTTCCCCCTGGGTGGGGAATGGGTCCCACTGAGAACCATTGACTGTTCTGATTGATGATGGCAGGGTGCTTGTTTTTGTTTTTAATTTGCAGCTTCTGGTTATCAAGACCAAATAGGTTTTCTCTCCCCAATTTTTAGGGGGCTTGTTACAGAAAAATAATCATAAAATGAACAAAACCTCAGAGCCCGGGTCATCTTCTGCAGGTAAGAGTCCTGTCTCTGAATACTAAGGGACCTCTAAGTCTACAGGTGGTCAAAATGCTGTATCCACCCAATTCCACTAAATGGAATAAATGAATAAATGAATGAATTCATTTATTCCATTTCCTCAGTTCCTCCCCAAATTACACCTCTGCCAGGAAACAGAGGGCGCTCCGACTTGTTCAGGTGTACTTTCTTGAGTTTCACCTCCATCCCTCCTGCTGTATGTAGAGCTCAGCTGTGCTGTCTGGCAATGGAGGATTGCTGCCGAGGTGCTCCCGCTGACCTCTTTTCTCCTTTCCTTCTCCCGCAAAGGCGGCAGAACTACATCGGGGCCACCAAATCACCACTCTTCAGCCCCATCCCACTCCCTGTTTCGGGCCTCGTCTGCTGGGAAAGTCACTTTTCCAGTATGTCTCCTGGCCTCTTATGATGAGATTTCTGGTCAAGGAGCGAGCTCTCAGGATACGAAGACATTTGACGTTGCGCTGTCCGAGGAGCTCCATGCGGCACTGAGTGAGTGGCTGACAGCGATCCGGGCTTGGTTTTGTGAGGTTCCTTCAAGCTAAGCCAGCTCAGAGAACACGGGGAGCGGTGGTGCTACACGGACTTCGGAGCATAGAGTGGCGCTGAGTGAGTGGCTGAGACCGACCACGGTTCTTGACTTAGTGGAATTGGGTCGAAGGAGTGGAGAATGGGAGGGCTCGGGCTACTGAGAGTGGAGATGGGGGCGGGGGTGGTGGTGAAGAGAGTTGGAGAAGGAATGGACGAATTCTTGAGCAAAAGGAGGGGAAGAGACAATCTCCAGCCACCCGCCCCACGCTTGACTTCTTATCACTTTGGCTGTGGTGCCGCCTAGTGGAAAAAGGAAGTCCCTGCAGCAGTCCCCGCACTCTTTAAGCAGCTGTTTACCGAAGGCACCAGTTCAGCCAGGAGTGAAATCCGGAGAGGAGCAACGCCAGCCTGGGTCACAGTCCATCAAACCCCATGAGCCCGACCACTCTCGCTCTTCCTTACATTCCCACGTCCCCCTTCTCTCCCAACCCCTCATATCAGCAAGGGAAATTAATTAATGAGATTTGATAAATCAGTAGATAGAATGAGGTCCCCATTCTGAAATATTTAGCAGACTGGAACCACCACGCAAGCCTCTGTAGGGGGTGGATGGAGACACTTCTAACTTTAATAAACTGCGACTGAACGTGGAATCCTAGTAAAAGTGTATGTGTGTGTGGCGGGGGATGACTATTCCTCCTTTTGTATTCCAACACTTTCACTCATCCCTGTGTTTGAGGAACTCCACTTTAGAAAATTACTGGCCCTCAGAAAGTCTGAGCCTTGACCCTCTTATACTAGACTCAATTCTTGTCTTAGACATGGGAATTAGGGGCCACGGGAAATGGACAAGGAAGAGATGGTCTCATCTTCGGGTGTTGAAATGATCTCACCACCACCACCAATGAAGAACTTCTCTCTGCGCCCACAGAACAACACATTGTGAAATTTAGGGATTAACTTTGAGGAGGAGGAGGCGGTGCCGGGCCTAAGACTTCTCTGGGGACCACAAAGGCTGTGACTGGGAAGAGAAAGCCTCTCTGGCGGCATCGAGCGGGGCGGGTGGTGGGACGGGGGTATCAGAGGAAGGTAGGGGGTTTGGACAACTTGACCCGGGGTTGGCCACCTCTTTCTCCTCATCTTCACACAGCCCCTGTGACACTGGACGCAGCCTCGGCCCACCCGGATCTCATCCTTTCCCAGGATGAGATAGTGACGCTGAACCTCGCATCCCAGGGCGGTTCGCAGAAGCGGGGCAACCCCCGACGCTTCTACAGGTTCCGCTGAGTGCTGGGCTCGCTGGGCCTTTGCTCCGGCCGCGGCGCCTGGGAGGCGGAGCTCCAACGGCCCGGGGGCGGGGCCTGCGTGCCGGGGCTTGGCCTTGGAGCTGGTTCCCAGGCGGGGCTTCCTGGAGGTGGAGCCCTTGACCGGCTTCGTGGAGCTGCACAGCAGCGGCTCCCAGTGCCAGGCGCTCATCGAGAGCGGTTCCCGGGAGGATCTCCCGATCTGTCCGAACAAAGTGGGCGTCCGCTTGGATTACTAGGGCGGAGAGGTAGTCTTCTACGACGCCACCTCGAGGACCCACATCTACACTTTCCATGCCTCCTTTCCGGGGCAGATCTCCTTTTTCCAGCTTCTGTTTTCCGGCACCCGGATCACCCTGGGTCGCTAGAGTTGTTCTTTGCCTTCCTCTGCATCTCCTCCTCACTCGCTTCTCGCCCCAGTTTGGGATGTGCTGCAGCTGGAAGGGTTGAAGCTAGGCTTCCAGCAGCCCTATGGGAAGGTTACACCCTTCGGGCTTCCTCCTGATCCAGTCCTGATTTCTCTGACCCTGCTTTAAATATTCCTTCTATCTCAGTTCCTCTCTCCTTACAATATGCCTGGGTCGAAAAGAAAGGCTCAAATACACTAAAAGGCTATACACAAGGCTGTTCATTGCAGCACAGTTGGTAACAGGATAAGACTGGAAACGAACGTCTATCAACAGGTGGTTGAAAAAGCTGCCACGTGCAAGCATCCAGCTGCATCTCGGTTAAGACAGACACAGGGGAGTGGACCACTGACCCCAGCTTGTCCGCCTGTCTCCTCCTCCATTTTACCTCCTGCAGCCCCCGTGGACCTGCACAGGGCTTTGACCCATCTGAACCCCATCCTGAAAACCGACATACGCAAAACTTTTCTAGTTCTTCATAATACTCAGAAACCAAAATTAATCCCACGACCAGATGCATCCTCCTCTCAAACCCACATCACCACTACCCGCAACAAAAGTCTTGATCATTCCTAGTGTTGCCATGTGAGGGACTGAAGTTAAACCCAGAGAAGGACTGCTCCAGTTTCCTGAGTGAGCCCAAAAAAAGTAAAAGGGCGAGGAGGTTGGAAACGCAGAGACGAAATGACCTCTGGACAGTAAAACCCACCATTTGCGCCAGTTTGGGATGATTATGGGTTCCTTCCTCTTCCTCCCTTCAGGCCGGCTGGGGACTGGGTAGGCGGATGGGACCAGGCGTCTCTAGGCTTTTCCTGCCTCCTCGCTCCGGTAGGGAGAGGGCGGTGTTGCAGGAGGCGTGGGGAGTCGCCCGCCAGCCCACGCTGCTGCCCGGCGCGTGGCTGCGCAGCGGGAGGGCGGGCCCAGGTGTCGGGGCGGGAGTGAGCCAACGCCCGGAGCACGGATTCCAGGGGCGCTCAGTCAGCCCTGGCCAGGCTCCCCCATTCACTTCCCCCAGTCGCCCGCGAGGCGCCGCCGATTACATAAACAGCCTTCACCTTCCTGCGGAGGGGACAACAAAGGGCTGGGGACACACAGGCCGAGACCCGAAAGTAACGCCCCTCCGGACTTTTATTCAGAATCAGCCGGGACTGCCCAAATCCCTATTTACAGTTCTCACAGCCCTCGTCATGGTCATGGACTTCGCGCCTTTTACCTTGTTTCCTTTCATTGTGTACAGATTCAACTTCCTTACTACAAAGGGAGATCTTTCCCAAATGTCTTAAGTTGATTTTATACTTCCTGACTCTACCAACCCCAGACACTTAGCACGGACCCTAGAATGGGGTACTTGATTAATAAATATTTACTAAATTAAAACCATGCCCTAATTTCTCTTTTCCCGCGAAAGACTGATGTCTTGGAAATCCCACTCAATTTTCGTGGACCAGCTCCACCTCACCTCCTCCGGGAAGCCTTCCCCAGGCAGGGTTCCTGGTACTTTCTGTTGGAAAAGTGTGCACACTCCCAAAGCCACTACAGCCATCTCCCTGCAGCACTTACCGCAAGTTGACTGTGAAGTCCTCGAGAACAGAAGCAGCATCTCACTCCTTTTCGTTTCACTCTCCCACCCTCCTTGAGCACTACAGGGCCTGGTTCCTAAAGGGATGTAAATGAAGGAAGGGTTCAAAGTAAATGAAAGAATACTTTGTAGCAAGGTTTAAATTTGGGGAGGTCTTCCAACCTGGACCTTAACCTTAAACGATGATCACACTCTTCTCAGCCGTGAGGGATGGGGGTCGCCTCTTTAGGAGCCTCTCAGAAGCTCATTTACTCAAAGAGAGTCCTGGCCATTCATTCGATGTTATGGCCGGGAAGTCAAGTGAATACTGAACCCTGGCCAAGATTTCCATCCCCCAGTCCAAAGTGTTTTCTGCCTCTTCACACAGTTATGATACTACTAACAGCATGTTTACAATGTTGAACAGTTTATTAAATGGATTCAGATACATTATTCCATTTGCTTCTCACAACTGCTTAAATTAGGTATGGTTACATTCCCATATTCCAAATATGGTATGAATGTTCAAACTCAGGTCTTTCAACACAAAGCACATGCAAAGTTGACTTGAAAAGATAAAATCTCATAAAATATATGATAAAATGGCTATAACAAATAGTAACTTTCCACGGTATTTCCCTACACAGACGGACACACACACACGTATACATGCACACACACACACACAACTTATCTGCTATATTAGTTTCCTAGGGCTTCCATAACACATCACCATAGACTGTGTGGCTTGAAACAATGACACATTCTCTTACAGTTTTGGAAGCAAGAAGTCTGAAGTCAAGGTGTCAGCAGAGCCATGCTCTCTCCAAAGGCTCTAGGAAAAAATGCTTCATTGCCTCTTCTAGCTCCTGGTGTTTGCTGGCAATCCGTGGCATTCTTTGGCTTGTAGATGCCTCACTCCAATCTCTGACAGCATTTTCACATGGCCGTCTCCCATGTGTCTGTGTCAAAATTTCCCTCCTCTTATAATGGCCCACCCTGATCCAATATGACCTCATCTGAACTTGATGAAAAGACCCTATTTTCTTTTTCTCTCTCTCTTTCTTTCCTTCTTTCCTTCCCTCCCTCCCTCCCTCCTTCCTTCTTTCCTTGCTTCCTTCCTTCCTTCTTTCCCTCCCTTTCTTCTTTCTTTCTTTCTTTCTTTCTTTCTTTCTTTCTTTCTTTCTTTCTTTTTTGAGACAAGGTCTGGCTCTATCACCCAGGCTGCAGTGCAGTGGCATGATCTCGGCTTACTGCAACCTCCACCTCACTGGCTCAAGTGATCTTCCCACATCAGCCTCCCGAGTAGGTGGGACTACAGGCACACAGCATGTGGGACTACAGGCACACAGCACCATGCCTGGCTAATTTTTGTATTTTTTGTAGGGACAGGGTTTTGCTATGTTGATCAGTCTGGTCTCCAACTCTTGAGCTCAAGCAATCTGCCCACCTTGGTCTCCCAAAGTGCTGGGATTACAGGGGTGAGCCACCTCATCTGGCCAAGACCCTATTTTTGAATAAAGCCACATACGTAGGTACCTGGGGCTAGGACTTCAATATGTCCTTGGCAGACAAAATTCAACCCACAACTCCATAATCTGTCACCCACAGGAAAGCGAGAACATAAAAAAGAAACAATGGTATTGGAAAAGAGCCAAGGGCAACACTTGGGGGATGCTAAGATGAGCAGAAGGGAAAAGAGATAGTGAGCATAGAGGGTGTACTCTCCAGGGAGGGTCAAATTTGAGTATCTGGCTTGGAAAACCAGAGAAAGGAGAAAGATGGTTTTCAAAAGCTAAAAGAGGAAAAAGCATGGCAGGAGTGGAGAAGTCATTAGGAGGGTGGAAGAGCTGCTCCCTAGGGAGGGAGAGTAAGAGCCACTCCACTCCTGGGGAAATCCAGTGAAAACTGGGGCAAGTGTCAAGAGATGGAGATCCACGGTACTGAGCCCCTTCCCCCACCAGAGTGGCCCCCTTGAGGAGCCAGGGGTCTGCAAGCTCCCAAAGCATATTCCTATAGAAACTCTGGGGTCATGAAGTCATCTTGTCCCCCTTCCCAGACCTGATCCTGCTGCCTGTTTTATACTCATTGTTGCTACCAACCCCCACACAGTCACCCAACCTAGGTGTTATCTTCAACTCTTTCTTCTTCCTCATTCTTACAGTCCTTGAGGCCCCAACCTCCTTGATGTTAGCGCCTACCACAGGACTCCACCCATCTTCCTCCTAGCACTGTCTAGATCAGCCCTCACCTGGATTATGACAGCTGCCTTTCTCATTTCCCTGCCTCCAGACTTATTCTGCCCAATCCATCTTCCATTACCCAGGCCAAAGTCTATGCTTTTCTAAAATTTTATTTTGAAAATCTTCTGACAGAAGAGTTGAATGAATTTTACAGTGACCATCCAAATATTACCACCTACATTTTCTCATTAGCATTTTACTGTACTTGCTTTATCAAATATGTTTCCATCGACCCATTCCTTCATCCTTCTATCCATCTTATAATTTTATGCATTTTAAAGTAAGTTGCAGATATTCAAATGATTTCTAAAAATATAATCTGGTCATGTTAGAACTTGTTGGACTTTCAATAATGCCTCCCTTCTCTAAAGGATAAAGCCTGAACTGCACGTTGGCCTGCCTTCAGCCTAACCCCTGCCCCCACCTGCTTCCCATTTTTCACTCCAGAAAGGCCAAATTGCCTAAAATTCCCCACTCACCACACTGTTTACATCTCCCTGACCCTCTTTCATTGTTCCTTCTTCTTAGCTTGTCCTCAGCCTTCCAGGGCCTCAAACGCCTCCTTCCCTGAAAGCCTTTCTTGATCCCCCACTCCTCTCCGACACTGGTTTAGGCACCACATCTATAAGCACATAGCAGTCCCCAGGGCATACTTTGATCACTGCACTAATCTCCACAATCAAGACGATCTGTTTATGTGTGTTTCTCACCTCTACCCCAACTGAGAGCTTCCTAAAAATTCAGGGATCCTGCTTTATTTGTCTATTGTCCTTGGTACCTAGAACAGTCTGTGGCATGTGTGGGTGCTCCATAAATATTTGTTGAGTGAATGCATTACTGGTTTTGTCCTTTCTAAGAGCACCTCCTGCCTTTGTACCAGCTTCTCCCACACAACATGGGGCCAGGTCTTCAATGTAGATCCCAGAGAGTTAAGAAGGAAGCAAAGAACACTGTTACCCGTGTTTTCCAGCCAAAGACCCCCCAGGAACATAACTGTCATTAAACATGCTGGGTTTATTACTCCTTGCAGCAATGGAGAATGCACCCCATGGGGAGTGTGGGACATTTTAATAAGAGTGTTAGGAAAAAACCTATGATAGGGTTTGGGTTTTGGTTAGGTGATTTGGGGAAAGGTCTAAGGAAGTGGGGGTTTGCTCTGGATTAATGCTGTTAGAAAGCAGAGCAGATCCTGTGAATGAATACCCAAATAAATATTTTCTATAGGGAGGGGAGACTAGAATGAGGGGAAAGCTATAATTGGTAAAGAAGTAGCAAACATTTCTGTTAACCAAGAGAAGGGGTGTTTGGTATTTTGTGGGTGGCACAGTGTCTTTTTTTGGATCTGTGCTCAGAAAAACTTGTGAAGCAGCCTTGCATTGTCTCACTTTATCAAGGTCTAGGAGTAAACTTGTCTGAGATTGGTATTCTGTAATATAGTTTATGCCTACTAGGTGAATAACATGGTTTAGCTCTGTTAGGCCAACTTCTGAATGTCAGAGGCTGCTCTTTTTTTTTCTCTCAGTGTTTAGGTTGGGCATTGGGAAAAAAGATGAATTAGTGGGATTGGAGCATGTGTATAGATATGTGCAGAATCCAGTTCAATGCAAAAAACTTTTCTTTTTTTTTTTTCTTTTTTTTTTTTTTTTTTTGAGACAGACTCTTGCTCTGTTGCCTAGGCTGGAGGGCAGTGGTGCGATCTCGGCTCACTGCAAGCTCTGCCTCCCGGGTTCATGCCATTCTCCTGCCTCAGCCTCCACAGTAGCTGGGACTACAGGTGCCTGCCACCATGCCCGGCTAATTTTTTGTATTTTGTTTAGTAGAGATGGGGTTTCACCATAGCCAGTTGGTCCGATCTCCTGACCTCGTGATCCACCTGCCTCGGCCTCCCAAAGTGCTGAGATTACAGGCTTGAGCCAACGCTTCCGGCCACAAAATTTTTCAAATAGAGGAAGTCTGGAGTTTATTTCCAAGGTGTCCACCTCCCCAATCCAGGCATATATTTCCAGGTCACAGTGCTGACACTTTCAGCCTCCCGCAGTCACACACCCCATGGTCATGGAAAGGGACACGTGGCCCAGGTCCCTGGTGGCTCTGAGTTGTGGGGAGGGAGGAGCCAGTGGCTTTGGCTCTACCCGGACATCCATTGTTCTCCCAGGGCAAACACTCTGAAGCTTGTTTTCTTGGCTGACTGTTTTTGTTTGTCATCCTGCCTGGTATCACAGCCTCCCAGTAACTCCCAAACCTACTCATCTGAGCCCTGAGGAAAACCTATTAGATATGAATTCTTTGTTGGTTTTGTGACAGTGGCCTCTGACCAGACGGGTTCAGCTGCCTGGACCCCAAGGGCCTTGTTGTCTCTGCTCCCTGCCTTCTGGGGTAATGATCTCACCCTTGCCCCCAGTTTCAAGGATCCAGTGACTCACTGCAGAGTAAAACAACAGCATGGCAGATGCCTGGCATCTGAGGTCTCTGATACTCTCTAAGGATATGGGGCTGTGATCTTTTTTCCTTCAGTCTGGTGCTTCTGTCTGACTGTTAGTGATTCCCCTTTCCTGATAAAGGCTTTAATATTTCCTTCAAATCAGACAGCCCTGAAGTTGCTGCCTCCTGCCTTCATTATTCCTTTCTGCACAAGGCTGAATTGATTCTGTTCTGAAATTTTCCTCATCCCTGCCCTCCACACACATACTCACCAATGCATGACTTGCTTTTTCACGGCCTCTTGTCTTGTGCTTCTCTACCTTTTGGTTCAAATCTTCTTCTTCTTCTTCTTTTTTTTTTTATGAAGTTTTTATGAAGCCTTGCTCTGTCACCCAGGCTGGAGTGCACTGGCACATCTCAGCTCACTGCAACCTCAGCCTCCCGGGTTCAAGGGCTTCTCTTGCCTCAGTCTCTTAGGTAGCTGGGATTACAGGTGCCCACCACCACACCCAGCTAATTTTTTGTACTTTTAGTAGAGATGGGGTTTTGCCATGTTGGTCTGGCTGGTCTCGAACTCCTGACCTTGGGTGATCCGCCCACCTTGGCCTCCCAAAATGCTAGGATTACAGGTGTGAGCCACCGTGCAAGCCGAAAGTCTTCTTTAGCTATGATCTTCCTGAATCCTAGTTTGATTTGATCCTTCAGGACATGTTTGTGTGTATTTACATATCTGTGTTTTATACACATAGAAATGTGTGTGTGTGTGTGTGTGTGTGTGTGTGTGTGTGTATTTGAAATAGCTATAAACCAGGGACAGTGGGAATAGTGAGGATATGTGTTTGTGGGATCAAGTGAGGTTGTGGTTACAAGAAAAAGCTATATCTTTGATAACAGCAAATCAATAATAGATAATGCCTAAAATTAGAAGAGCAAATAGTAATAATATAATCCTTGTATTTACAGATGTGAAGGTGAACACCAAAACAGCTAAAAGAGTTGAAAGTAGTGGAGATGGGGGTGAGGGCTGCCATTTTAAAAAATTAACTCATCAACTTGTTTAACTTTTTATTTGCATATATAACTGCGATGAAAATCCTGAAAATAATCTAATTGTGTTCTGTGTTCCTTTTTTTTCCCCCTACCAGCCATGTGAAGATCTGTCACCCACTCATTTCCTCAGCCCAGTTTCTCACCCTTGCTTCCTCTCCCCCGACTCTGTTTCCAGGGGCCAGGCTTGTCCACCCCACGGGATCTCTCCTACCTGACTGCTCTCCTCCTGCCTCCAATCTATCCACCTGCAGACAGAACAATCTCTACAACCTGTGTCACCAGAGTGTGTTTCACTTCCACTTGAAAATTCTCTGAGACTTGCCTAGTGTAACAGGATTGAGTTATGCCCTCAGTATGACAAGCTCCATGTCCCTCTCAGTGCCAGCCCTAGGCACGCAGCCTGCACCAGGCTCAGACACACCTCCTTCTCTTGGCTGCCCTGGCTCTGTACTCCCTCTGACCAAAACCCTTCCCCTGTATGTGTTTCTTTACTATGGGTCATAATTTATAGTACATAATGTTCTGCACTGACTTTTTCTTTTAACCACGATCTTATAGATCTTCTCATGTCAACCCAAATAGGTCATCTTCACTATTTTTCACTGTTACATGAATTCAATTACATAATGTATATAAAAACATTTTGCATGCCATCTGGCATATAGGAAGACTCAAATATATCCTTATCTCATTTAAGTTTCCATCACCGCAACATAATGAAGAAACACCCTTTGTCTCCTTTAACACTGTAGTTGTAAGATTCCTCCTCAACTGTTATTACAGCTATGCATTGTGCCTTTTAAAAACATTTAGTATTTTTTTTCATTGGGACAAATCTTGCTATGTTGCCCAGGCTGGTCTCTCACTCCTGGGCTAAGTGATCCTCCTGCCTCACCCTCCCAAAGTGCTGGGATTATAGGCATGAGCCACTGTGCCTTGCCCTATGCAATGGTTTTAAACAGATCACGAATTTAATTAATATCACTATTCTCCCCATTATTTCTTTAGCTTTTCCATCCAGCTCCCTACACATCCCTCTTTTGTGGATCTCAACTCCTTGGAGCTCTCCCACACACTCTGCTTGCTTGCTTTTCCCTGAAATGCCCTCTGCTATCCCCTTCCACCACCCACTGGGGAAGTGGTTCCCTTCTTCCCAGACATCCGCTGTAAAAGCTTCCCTAAGCTGCCCTCTCCCAGAGGAGCCCTCAGCCTATGGGCAGCCCCGCCCCCCACCTGGTTTGCACCACTCATATCACTCCTTAACCAGAAGGTCAGTCTTTTGAAAGCAGGGCGTCTTAGTATCTTCAGTGCTTAGCATGTTGCCTGGCACATAAAAAGTGCCCCATAAGTGTTTGCGGGATGAGAATCCTCAACTTCTAAATGTCTAATCTCATTTTTCTATGTAATATGCCACACACAGAAGAGGTGCTCTGTGGTATAGAGGAGAATGTACCTTCTTATTAGCTGTGTGATCTTGGACAACTCACATCACCTCTCTGAGCCTCAGTTTCTTGATCCGTAAAATGGGGGTAATGAGATCTATGAGGAATGAATGATGAAATAAAATATAAGAAGATGTTCTAAAAATGTAAAAAGTATTACCATCACTCCTTCTTCAACCTCATTTCAAACTTTCCATAGTTCTGACAAAATCCTCTCCCCAGGTCCAGCCCGTTCTGTAAGATCATGTCTCTCCCCCCGACTCCTGATCCTCATTCCTTTCTTTTTCTTTTTCTTTCTTTCTTTCTTCTTTTTTTTTTTTTTTGAGATGCAGTTTTGCTCTTGTTGCCCAGGCTGGAGTGCAATGGCGCATCGGCTCACCACAACCTCCGCCTCCCGGGTTCAAGCGATTCTCCTGCCTCAGCCTCACTGAGTAGCTGGGATTACAGACATGCACCACCATACCCAGCTAATTTTGTATTTTTAGTAGAGACAGGGTTTCTCCATGTTGGTCAGGCTGGTCTCGAACTCCCGACCTCAGGTGGTTCGCCTGCCTCGGCCTCCCAAAGTGCTGGGATTACAGGTATGAGCCACCGTGCCCGGCAACCTCATTCCTTTCTGGTGCTGTTGTTTCGCCCTCTCATTCCCTTCTTCTAACTTGGTAGGCTTTGTTCTTGCCTAATTCCTCTTCAGTGTTCACTTTTCTGTAGCCTTTGCCTTTCTCCTTTCAGCATAGCTCTGTCCTCACAGCTTCCTGGAAGCCATCCCAAGAACTCTTATAGGTTCCTTTCCCTCTGCTTCCTTGAAGCTCCTCCCTGCTCCTCCTGCCACATACACCACCCAGGGGGCAGGGGAGCCTCACATGGGCGTGGATAACTCTACCAAGCGCTGGTTTCAAGGACGCTTGCAAAGGTGGCCAGAAATGGCAGATAAAAGGGCACGAGATGCCATGTTCTGCGCAGGGAGGGGCTGGATGAGGGGAACCAGAGAGTCCAAGGCAGGTCCCAGGGCAAGTTTTCCTTCCAGAGATTCAGGGCAGGCAGGACAGAGCTGGAGGGGTGTGTTTGGGAGACAGGGGAGGTAACATCTGAGGCTCAGGAGGCAGTCAGAGGGAGTGGCTCCTGAACTAATTGGCAGGCTGGATGCCAGCAGCGTGCCAGTGATGTTTTAGCTACTGGTCACCAGAGGAGAGGAAGGAAGGGAGGGAGGGAGAGTCTATCATGTGGACCAAGACACAGAGGCACATGGGGCCTGTTGTCGGCTGGCTCTCAGCTCATCAGGCTTTTCTAGGTCACTGTGCGTTGCCACCTCCCTTGCTGGGTTTCCCTGCTCTGCCTCGTGCTGCCTTGCATGCCCCTGGCTTGGTTTCTCTGACTCATAGTCCACGACCCGGACACTCTCTTCAAGTCTCTGTGCTCCTGGGAGTTGGTGTTCTAATACTGTTGGGGAGGAAGCACTTGAGTCCCAGCATGCAGGCTTTGACCTTTATCCTGCATGGCCCCCAGTTTCCTCCCTGTGACTGGAATGTGACACAGGCTCCTGGAGTAGTTAAGAAAGTAGTAAAATCTTTAATGATTTGAAAATTATAAAATTATAAAATTATTACTGTGTTAAAATGAACTATCCTTGTTCTTTTTGTTTCTCCACCACTCCTAATGTCAGATATGCTTACATCGGGCTGCACAGTTCACAGCACTGTTGGATGGCCCACAGGCCTCCTGGCTTCACATGTCCAACATGCCACCCCTGATATTCCTGCCCAGGCCAGCTCCTCACAGTTCTTCCCACTGCAGTCACTGGCAGCTCCATCCTCCCCATGGTGGGGCCAAATTCGTTAGAGCTTCCTGCCTCCTCCTTTGCTCTCACACTCCACAACCAATGCAGTAACTCACGTCCAGAAGTCAGCCCCTTCCCACCAACTCCAACCCCTGGTAGGCTCACCTCACCCAGTACTGAATGAAGTCCTGACAATGACAAAGCCCTGCACAGTCGGCCAGTCCCATCTCTGACTTCCTACTCCACACCCGCTGCTCCCTCTGCTCCAGCCACATGGCCTCATGTTAAATCTCAAACACATCAGCAGCTTCAGCATCACAGCCTTTGCCTCTGCCTTTCCTTTCATCTGGATGATCCTTCCTTCAGATAAGCACTTGACGACTTCTCTTACCACCTTCAAATCTTTGCTCAAATAGAATCTATTGAGATTGTAACTCTATCTACTCCATCCAGCACTCCATCCAGCATTGAGAAGGCCCATCTCTCTAGGTGATATTTAAGGGCAGACCTGAGAGATGAATAAGAGATCATCATGCTCAGAGAGGAGAGAAGGGCATCCCAGGCACAGGTAACAGCTTTGCATCAACCTAGAGGCAAGAACAATTTGGGCTAATTTAAGCAAAGTTGACGCATGATGAGTTGGGAGTAAAGATGGCACAAGATAATAATGAAGACTTAGAGATTAGAGCAAGCAAAAACTTAGGTTTTAGTAGTGGAATAGGCAAGAGTGCAATGGGGGAAGATCCGAGGCCACTACTTGCTAATGGCATTCCCCAGAGTTGTATAAGGCAGTCATCCCAAAGAGAGAAAACTATGCTAGCATTTGTGTCTTTCTTCCCAGCTTTATGTTGCTTCGTGGTACCTACCATACATTACACTTATTTATTTGTTAATGAGCTGTTCTCCCCGCTAGAGTTTAGAATTCCCATGAGGCCAGGTTCCTGTCTGTGTTGATCTCCACTGAGTCCCTAGCTTTCAACACTGTATCTGCACATAGTAGGTCCTTAATAAGTACTTTTGAACGAATAAGTATAAATTACTTTTATCATCCCTAAAACAAATTTTTTGATATAATTGTTTTCACTTTATAGTCACAAAACTAACAAGAGTCAAGTCAAATCTTGACACCCTACTGTTTCTAAGTGGTGTCAATGTTCCTTCATACTGTATAATTTCTTATCTGGTTTAGTCAAAATGGGCAAAGGCTTCAGTTTTTTCAATTTTAAAATGAGGAGTTTGGACTAATGGATTGCCCATTTGCTGGAGGATGATACCTGCTCCTTCCTCCAGGGCCTCCCCTGCTGCTCCAGTCCAAGTTCTTTTCCCTCTTCCAGCCTCCCCTCTTCCTGGGGTCTGGACAACAGAGGTTAAATGGTTTAAAGGCCCACTGGGAGACTGTGAATCACAGAAGCACAGGAATCCTTTCCATTTCTAGCTGCCTACACTCCATCTATCTCACTGGCTGAGGCTTCGATTCTGTCAAGGAAATAGGATGACTACAGAACAGAAAGAAAGGACAGAGAATAAAAAGGAGAAAATGATGAAGGGGAGGGCAGGGAGGAAGGAGAGAAGGACAGAGCAAACAGGTCTCGTGCATGTTAGTGAATATTCTGCAGAGAGGAGAAGCAGTTATTGTGGACTGTGGTCCAACTGAAACAAAATATCTCATCACTTTGTCTTTACCCCCTCTCTTGTGATCCCATCTCAACATCCAAAGCTCATTAAGTATGTAGCCCATTTCTGTAACAGCCTTGCAATTACACAGTCATCCATTCCAGAAATTAGAAATTCATGATTGATTTTCCCCTCCCTCATCACCCAAAGGCCACTTCAATGTTTTTGTCAATTCTATCTACAAAATACACTTCAAATTGGCCTGCTCATTTTCAGCTCCACTGGATCCCACTATCTCAAGCCATCATCCTTTCTCACCTAAATTACTGGCATAGTTTTCTCTCTTTGGGATGACTGCCGTATACAACTCTGGGAATGCCATTAGCAGGTAGTGACCCTGGGTCTCCCCCATTCCACTCTTGTTTATTCCACTACTAAAACTTAAGATTTCACTTGCTCTAGTCTCTGCCTACGTCTTCATTATTATCTTGTGCCATCTTTACTCCTAACTCATCATGTGTCAACTTTGCTTAAATTAGCCCAAATTGTTCTTGCCTCTAGGCTGTTGCAAAGCTGTTACCTGTGCCTGCAATGCCCTTCTCTCCTCTTTGAGCATGATGATCTCTTATTCATCTCTCAGGTCTCCCCTTAAATATCACCTTGGAAGATGGGCCTTCCTCAATGTCCCCCATCTAAATTAAGGACTTCTGCTCTCAGTCTCTGTGCTGGAGATTTGTCAAAATGTCAGATTTATCAAATAAAAGTACAGGATGTCCATTTAAATCTGAATTTTAGATAAATAATAAACAAGTATTTTGTGTAAGTATGCCCCATGCAGTATTTGGGAGATACTTATACTAAAAAATCATTGTTTATCTGAAATTCAAATTTAACTGGATGTTCTGCATTTTATCTGCCAAACCTACATATATGGAATGACCTCATTTCCTTTCTATTGAAGAGATTGAAAAGTAAAAAACTCTATTTCTCAGAATTTTTGGAGCTAGGATTCTGGACATGAATTAAGTCCTTCCAACTAAATGTATTTCTATGAGATTTGAAATGCAGAAGTGAGGTAGAGGCTATTTTCCTATAGAAGAGCATGGATGAGCCCCAATAAACATGAAATGTGCATGGGGGTAGGGCAGCTGGGCCCGTGGCTGCTATGCTAGCAGTAGCTGCAGCACTACTGACCTATGGTGATTGACCTTGAAGCCAATAAACCAGTTAGGACATCCTGACTTTTTTTTTTTTTTTTTTTTTTTTTTTTTTTTTTTTGAGACGGAGTCTCGCTCTGTCGCCAGGCTGGAGTGCAGTGGAGTGATCTTGCTCACTGCAACCTCTGCCTCCTGAGTTCAAGCAATTCTCCTGCCTCAGCCTCCTAAGTAGCTGTGACTACATCATGTGCCACCATGCCCAGCTAACTTTTGTATTTTTAGTAGAGACGGGGTTTCACCATGTTGGCCAGGATGGTCTCGATCTCTTGACCTTGTGATCTGCCCAACTCAGCCTCCCAAAGTGTTGGGATTACAGGCATGAGCCACCGTGCCCAGCCAATATTTTTTTTTCTTAATTGAAACAGGCGCCTAAAAGACAGGAAGGAACCTGCTCCTGCATTCTTGACAGATGAGGATCCGAAAGTTTTCCCTACTTACACACCAGCAAGATCATCTCTCTGGGAATCAATTTTCTTATCCATGTTGTAAGGGCTAGACTACACATTGTTAATGTTCCCTACAACTCTAGCATTCTACAAATCTATGATTCTTTGAAGTCTTTAATAGAGGTGGGAGCCAGAATCAAATTAGCTATATTTGGTGCACTTACTAGCGATCCTTGTACAGGTTAATAAATACCTTGTTTGGAAGACCTATTCTCCCCGATGGGGAAGTGGACATGGAAATGAGATGATCGTCTTGAATGTAAATAATGTGAAGGGGAATAGGAATTAGAAAAAGAAAACTGAGAGAAAAGACTACTAGGACAAAATGAGCTTCAAAATACATAAATCATGCTGAGTGTGGTAGCTTATGCCTATAATCTCAGCTCTTTGGGAGATGAGGCCAAAGTGGGAGGATTGATTGAAGCCAGGAGCTTGAGATCAGCCTGGGCAACACAGCCGGATCCCATCTCTACAATCAATCAATCAATCAATCAATCCATTAGACCACGTAAATATCACACTTACAGCTACTCAGTGGCATTCCACTGCTCTTAGAACAACGATCAACTCCTTATCCTGGTCCCTAAGGTCCTACACAGCTTGGCTCTTAGTACCTCTCCAATCTCACATCAAACCATTGTCATCCCACTTCATACGTTCAAGATCTTTCCCACTTCAGGGTCTTTGCATCTGCTGTTGTTGCTCTCTCCCAACTCTTCTCATTGCTGGCTCCCTCTCTTCACCTTCTCAGAGGAGCTTTTTCTAACATCCTATTAAAAGTAGTGCACACCTCCTCCAGTTAATTCCTCTTATATTACCCACTTTGTATTCTTCAAAGCACTGATCACAATCTATAATTATCTTGTTAATTTATTTGTTTACTTGCTTATTGTTGGCCTTTTTCAATGGAATCTAAATTACCAGAGGACAAGGGACTATGGCTGGCTTGCTCTCCACTCTTCCTAACTCCTAGAACAACGCATGGTACATAGTAGGTGCTTAGTAAATAGTTGTTGAATGATTAAATGAATGGATGAATGAATGCACAGCTCTTAAAAGGAAACTGCTGGCCAGGTGCAGTGGCTCACACCTGTAATCCTAGCACTTTGGTAGGCTGAAGCAGGCAGATCACCTGAGGTAAGGAGTTCAAGACCAGCCTGGCAAACATGACAAAACCCCATCTCTACTAAAAATACAAAAATTAGCTGGGTGTGGTGGCATGTGCCTGTAGTCCCAGCTACTTGGGAGGCTAAGCTAGGAGAATCGCTTGAACCCAGGAGGCAGAGGTTGTAGTGAACTGAGCTCATGCCACTGCACTCCAGCCTGGTGACAGAGCGAGACTCTGTCACAAACAAACAAACAAACAAAAAAAAAAAAATGGAAACTGCTAAGGGCTTGGAGAACAAGAAGGCCTTGAGAAAACTGAGAAGATGGGGGGAGGAGCCAAGATGGCCAAATAGGAACAGCTCCGGTCTACAGCTCCCAGCGTGAGCAACGCAGAAGACAGGTGATTTCTGCATTTCCATCTGAGGTTCATCTCACTAGGGAGTGCCAGACAGTGGGCACAGGTCAGTGGGTGCGCGCACCGTGCGTGAGCCGAAGCAGGGCGAGGCATTGCCTCACTCAGGAAGCACAAGGGGTCAGGGAGTTCCCTTTCCTAGTCAAAGAAAGGGGTGACAGAGGGCACCTGGAAAATCGGGTCACTCTCACCCGAATACTGCGCTTTTCCGACGGGCTTAAAAAACGGCGCACCAGGAGATTATATCCCGCACTTGGCTCAGAGGGTCCTACGCCCACAGAGTCTCGCTGATTGCTAGCACAGCAGTCTGAGATCAAACTGCAAGGTGGCAGCGAGGCTGGAGGAGGGGCGCCCGCCATTGCCCAGGCTTGCTGAGGTAAACAAAACAGCCGGGAAGCTCGAACTGGGTGGAGCCCACCACAGCTCAAGGAGGCCTGCCTGCCTCTGTAGGCTCCACCTCTGGGGGCAGGGCACAGACAAACAAAAAGACAGCAGTAACCTCTGCAGACTTAAATGTCCCTGTCTGACAGCTTTGAAGAGAGCAGTGGTTCTCCCAGCACGCAGCTGGAGATCTGAGAACGGGCAGACTGCCTCCTCAAGTGGGTCCCTGACCCCTGACCCCCGAGCAGCCTAACTGGGAGGCACCCCCCAGCAGGGGCAGACTGACACTTCACACGGCCGGGTACTCTAACAGACCTGCAGCTGAGGGTCCTGTCTGTTAGAAGGAAAACTAACAAACAGAAAGGACATCCACACAAAAAACCCATCTGTACATCACCATCGTCAAAGACCAAAAGTAGATAAAACCACAAAGATGGGGAAAAAACAGAGCAGAAAAACTGGAAACTCTAAAAAGCAGAGCTCCTCTCCTCCTCCAAAGGAATGCAGTTCCTCACCAGGAATGGAACAAAGCTGGACGGAGAATGACTTTGACGAGCTGAGAGAAGAAGGCTTCAGACGATCAAATTACTCCGAACTATGGGAGGACATTCAAACCAAAGGCAAAGAAGTTGAAAACTTTGAAAAGAATTTAGAAGAATGAATAACTAGAATAACCAATACAGAGAAGTGCTTAAAGGAGCTGATGGAGCTGAAAACCAAGGCTCGAGAACTACGTGAAGAATGTAGAAGCCTCAGGAGCTGATGCGATCAACTAGAAGAAAGGGTATCAGCGATGGAAGATGAAATGAATGAAATGAAGCGAGAAGGGAAGTTTAGAGAAAAAGGAATAAAAAGAAACGAGCAAAGCCTCCAAGAAATATGGGACTATGTGAAAAGACCAAATCTACATCTGATTGGTGTACCTGAAAGTGACGGGGAGAATGGAACCAAGTTGGAAAACACTCTGCAGGATATTATCCAGGAGAACTTCCCCAATCTAGCAAGGCAGGCCAACGTTCAGATTCAGGAAATACAGAGAACGCCACAAAGATACTCCTCGAGAAGAGCAACTCCAAGACACGTAATTGTCAGATTCACCAAAGTTGAAATGAAGGAAAAAATGTTAAGAAAAGCCAGAGAGAAAGGTCGGGTTACCCTCAAAGGGAAGCCCATCAGACTAACAGCGGATCTCTCGGCAGAAACTCTACAAGCCAGAAGAGAGTGGGGGTCAATATTCAACATTCTTAAAAAAAAGAATTTTCAACCCAGAATTTCATATCCAGCCAAACTAAGCTTCATAAGTGAAGGAGAAATAAAATCCTTTACAGACAAGCAAATGCTGAGAGATTTTGTCACCACCAGGCCTGCCCTAAAAGAGCTCCTGAAGGAAGCACTAAACATGGAAAGGAACAACCAGTACCAGCTGCTGCAAAATCATGCCAAAATGTAAAGACCATTGAGACTAGGAAGAAACTGCATCAACTAATGAGCAAAATAACCAGCTAACATCATAATGACAGGATCAAATTCACACATAACAATATTAACTTTAAATGTAAATGGACTAAATGCTCCAATTAAAAGACACAGACTGGCAAATTGGATAAAGAGTCAAGACCCATCAGTGTGCTGTATTCAGGAAACCCATTTCACGTGCAGAGACACACATAGGCTCAAAATAAAAGGATGGAGGAAGATCTACCAAGCAAATGGAAAACAAAAAAAGGCAGGGGTTGCAATCCTAGTCTCTGATAAAACAGACTTTAAACCAACAAAGATCAAAAGAGACAAAGAAGGCCATTACATAATGGTAAAGGGATCAATTCAACAAGAAGAGCTAACTATCCCAAATATATATGCACCCAATACAGGAGCACCCAGATTCATAAAGCAAGTCCTGAGTGACCTACAAAGAGACTTAGATTCCCATGCATTAATAATGGGAGACTTTAACACCCCACTGTCAACATTAGACAGATCAACAAGACAGAAAGTTAACAAGGATACCCAGGAATTGAACTCAGCTCTGCACCAAGCAGACCTAATAGACATCTACAGAACTCTCCACCCCAAATCAACAGAATATACATTTTTTTCAGCACCACACCACACCTATTCCAAAATTGACCACATACTTGAAAGTAAAGCTCTCCTCAGCAAATGTAAAAGAACAGAAATTATAACAAACTATCTCTCAGACCACAGTTCAATCAAACTAGAACTCAGGATTAAGAATCTCACTCAAAACCGCTCAACTACATGGAAACTGAACAACCTGCTCCTGAATGACTACTGGGTACATAACGAAATGAAGGCAGAAATAAAGATGTTCTTTGAAACCAACGAGAACAAAGATACAACATACTAGAATCTCTGGGACGCATTCAAAGCAGTGTGTAGAGGGAAATTTATAGCACTAAATGCCCACAAGAGAAAGCAGGAAAGATCTAAAATTGACACCCTATAATCACAATTAAAAGAACTAGAAAAGCAAGAGCAAACACATTCAAAAGCTAGCAGAAGGCAAGAAATAACTAAAATCAGAGCAGAATTGAAGGAAATAGAGACACAAAAAAACCCTCCAAAAAATTAATGAATCCAGGAGCTGGTTTTTTGAAAGGATCAACAAAATTGATAAACCGCTAGCAAGACTAATAAAGAAAAAAGAGAGAAGAATCAAATAGACACAATAAAAAATGATAAAGGGGATATCATCACCGATCCCACAGAAACAGAAACTACCATCAGAGAATACTACAAACACCTCTATGCAAATAAACTAGAAAATCTAGAAGAAATGGATAAATTCCTTGACACATACACTCTCCCAAGACTAAACCAGGAAGAAGCTGAATCTCTGAATAGACCAATAACAGGATCTGAAATTGTGGCAATAATCAATAGCTTACCAACCAAAAAGAGTCCAGGACCAGATGGATTCACAGCCGAATTCTACCAGAGGTACAAGGAGGAACTGGTACCATTCCTTCTGAAACTATTCCAATCAATAGAAAAAGAGGGAATCTTCCCTAACTCATTTTATGAGGCCAGCATCATCCTGATACCAAAGCTGGGCAGAGACACAACCAAAAAAGAGAATTTTAGACCAATATCCTTGATGAACATTGATGCAAAAATCCTCAATAAAATACTGGCAAACCAAATCCAGCAGCACATCAAAAAGCTTATCCACCATGATCAAGTGGGCTTCATCCCTGGGATGCAAGGCTGGTTCAATATACACAAATCAATAAATGTAATCCAGCATATAAACAGAATCAAAGACAAAAACCACATGATTATCTCAATAGATGCAGAAAAGGCCTTTGACAAAATTCAACAACGCTTCATGCTAAAAACTCTCAATAAATTAGGTATTGATGGGATGTATTTCAAAATAATAAGAGCTATCTATGACAAACCCACAGCCAATATCATACTGAATGGGCAAAAACTGGAAGCATTCCCTTTGAAAACTGGCACAAGACAGGGATGCCCTCTCTCACCACTCCTATTCAACATAGTGTTGGAAGGTCTGGCCAGGGCAATTAGTCAGGAGAAGGAAATAAAGGGTATTCAATTAGGAAAAGAGGAAGTCAAATTGTTCCTGTTTGCAGACGACATGATTGTATATCTAGAAAACCCCATTGTCTCAGCCCAAAATCTCCTTAAGCTGATAAGCAACTTCAGCAAAGTCTCAGGATACAAAATCAATGTACAAAAGTCACAAGCATTCTTATACACCAACAACAGACAAACACAGAGCCAAATCATGAGTGAACTCCCATTCACAATTGCTTCAAAGAGAATAAAATACCTAGGAATCCAACTTATAAGGGATGTGAAGGACCTCTTCAAGGAGAACTACAAACCACTGCTCAAGGAAATAAAAGAGGATACAAACAAATGGAAGAACATTCCATGCTCATGGGTAGGAAGAATCAATATCGTGAAAATGGCCATACTGCCCAAGGTAATTTACAGATTCAATGCTATCCCCATCAAGCTACCAATGACTTTCTTCACAGAATTGGAAAAAACTACTTTAAAGTTCATATGGGACCAAAAAAGAGCCCGCATCGTCAAGTCTATCCTAAGCCAAAAGAACAAAGCTGGAGGCATCACGTTACCTGACTTCAAACTATACTACAAGGCTACAGTAACCAAAACAGCATGGTACTGGTGCCAAAACAGAGATATAGATCAATGGAACAGAACAGAGCCCTCAGAAATAAGGCCGCATATCTACAAGTATCTGATCTTTGACAAACCTGAGAAAAACAAGCAATGGGGAAAGGATTCCCTATTTAATAAATGGTGCTGGGAAAACTGGCTAGCCATATGTAGAAAGCTGAAACTGGATCCCTTCCTTACACCTTATACAAAAATTAATTCAAGATGGATTAAAGACTTAAATGTTAGACCTAAAACCATAAAAACCCTAGAAGAAAACCTAGGCATTACCATTCAGGACATAGGCATGGGCAAGGACTTCATGTCTAAAACACCAAAAGCAATGGCAACAAAAGCCAAAATTGGCAAATGGGATCTAATTAAACTAAAGAGCTTCTGCACAGCAAAAGAAACTACCATCAGAGTGAATAGGCAACCTACAAAATGGGAGAAAATTTTCGCAACCTACTCATCTGACAAAGGGCTAATATCCAGAATCTACAATGAACTCAAACAAATTTACAAGAAAAAAACAAACAACCCCATCAAAAAATGGGCGAAGGACATGAACAGACACTTCTCAAAAGAAGACATTTATGCAGCCAAAAAACACATGAAAAAATGCTCACCATCACTGGCCATCAGAAAAATGCAAATCAAAACCACAATGAGATACCATCTCACACCAGTTAGAATGGCAATCATTAAAAAGTCAGGAAACAACAGGTGCTGGAGAGGATGTGGAGAAATAGGAACACTTTTACACTGTTGGTGGGACTGTAAACTAGTTCAACCATTGTGGAAGTCAGTGTGGCGATTCCTCAGGGATCTAGAACTAGAAATACCATTTGACCCAGCCATCCCATTACTGGTTATATACCCAGAGGACTATAAATCATGCTGCTATAAAGACACATGCACACGTATGTTTATTGTGGCATTATTCACAATAGCAAAGACTTGGAACCAACCCAAATGTCCAACAATGATAGACTGGATTAAGAAAATGTGGCACATATACACCATGGAATACTATGCAGTCATAAAAAATGATGAGTTCATGTCCTTTGTAGGGACATGAATGAAATTGGAAATCATCATTCTCAGTAAACTATCGCAAGAACAAAAAACCAAACACCGCATATTCTCACTCATAGGTGGGAATTGAACAATGAGAACACGTGGACACAGGAAGGGGAACATCACACTCTGGGGACTGTTGTGGGGTGAGGGCAGGGGGGAGGGATAGCATTGGGAGGTATACCTAATGCTAGATGACGAGTTGGTGGGTGCAGCGCACCAGCATGGCACGTGTATACATATGTAACTAACCTGCACATTGTGCACATGTACCCTAAAACTTAAAGTATAATAATAATAAATAAATAAATAAATAAGAAAACTGAGAAGACAAATAGTGAACATTTAGGGGAGAATTTAAATGATGGATAGAAATATTAGTGACATTGATAGGTGGGTTGTTGGAAGGAAAGAGAATAAGTGAGCACCTACATGAACTTGAAGGATGGGCAACATTTCAGAGAAACTGTTAGCCCTAAGCAGGGATTTAAAGGGAGAGAAAGGAAGGAGCCTTCCAGGAGGGACAGAAAAGAGAAAGTAAAGTCTCAAAAGAAAGAAATTAATATTTAAGGAAAAGAATATAGACTTTGGAGCCAGCAGGTTTGAATTTCAGTCCTGGCTCTGCCTCCTGCCGGCTGTTTGAGCCTAGTCAAATCCCTTACCATGCCAGAATCCCAGGGGCCTCAGTGTAACATGGCTGGACTTGGCCTCACGGCTATTATAGGGTTAAATGAGAGAATGGACTATGAAGGTGACATTTCTATAACATAGTCATGTATTTGAGTATCAAGATTGATTGGATTAATCTGGCTGGATATTCTTCCTCTATCCCTGCCTCAAGCCACCCCTCCTAAAACTGCCTCCCCCATCAGGGCAAGTTTTACTCAGAGTCCTTGGAGTAGTTGCATAGGAAAACTGCTCTGGTCTAATAGAATTTCCAGCTATGTTAAAGCACAGTGTAAACATCCAAGTCCTTAAAAAAATGAGTCATTATAGAAACAATCAAGATTGAAGAAAATCTTTGGGAAGGGCATAGTGAGTGGGAATTGAGAAAGAATTATGGTCTCCTTCATTTTGATTTCTTACCTCCTAGCCCTTCTTTTCCCAATCCAGTTTTCTCCCCAGAGATGCTTCACATTCTTTGTTCAGGCCTTTTCACTTCTCTTCCAGTCAACACAACCTTCACTTCTTTTACAGGTCACCTCCTCCTGGAAGACTTCCTGAAATGATTCCCACTTGTCCTTCAATCTGTCAACAGAATCCTCCCTCACTCTTCCCCTGTCACTGCACCTTTAAAATTTGGTAATGACAGATTTAGGTTGATGATGGATACACTTTATCTGCCTTCTTACACACCCTAATTCAGTAATGCTAAATTTTGTTGATGATGGATACACTTTACCTGCCTTATCACACTTCCTAAGGGCAGGGACCATGACTGTCCTGTGATCAGTCTCCCAAACTCCTCTATCATACTTATCTCTCCCTCTGGAAAGCTTCTAAAGACTAGTGGGGCTTTTAAAAGCATGAGGATGTTGCTAATATGGAGGAGAGAGACTGAAGGATAAATGAAAGGATAGAAGAAAAAAATGAAGAGAAGGAAAAGAAGGGATGGGTCAAGGCCTGTCCCACCTCTGACATTCCCTAGTGCCATGCATGGGTATCAAGCTGTCACACTCCACAACACCACAAGTAGGAATCCTGGAAGGAGTTGGAAAGGGGTGGGAACAGTTATTTAGGAGACACCTACATTAAGGAAGGAAGATGTGGATCCTAGCAGAGAGACAGGATCCCGTCATGGTCAACTGGATCAAGCCAAGCCAAGCTGACACACGTAAAATCACATCCACCCTTCTGGCTCTCTGGAAATAGAATGAACTCAGTGGTGATTAGAGCATCAAGTATAGAGTTGTTAGGGATTCTGGAAAGGGAGGGAGAAGGTCTTGAGAAGTGAGATGTTTCCAGGCAGAGTCTGTCTCCAAATGCCTTTTCCCTTACTGGTGTCCTGGAACCATTAGGTATGAACTCATTGTAACCTGGACGTAAAGGTTGAGCTGATGCTTTGTTAGCAGGAATCCTCACCATCTGGTTATGGAAGGCAAATGACAACTAGTCATGAACTTCCTAGCCAGACTGAGCACCATATGTCTTATAACACCTGAGCGTTTCCCAGCACTATGCCTGGCATCTGCCAGTGAGGCATGACTATTGGTTGAGAAGGATAAGAAGGTCTAAGCAGAGTCAATCAAATGACCCTCTCAGGTTGTCCAATCAGTGTAATGAGCAATTCAACAACTGGACCTAAGTTTATTAAGGCTCACTGTGTGCCAGGTGCTATTCTAGGTGCAGGGAAAGCAGCAGCAAACATGAAGGTTAGGTCCCTGTTCACTCACCTTCTATTGGACAGAGACACATCAAAAGTCCATAAATAGATCACTGCAGACAGTAATAAATAGCATGAAGATAATAAATATGGGTAAAGAGATAGTGAATACCTTTGAGAAAGACCACTTGAGATACAAGTGGTAAAAGAAGTCCTCTCTGAATGTTACCTTTGGGTTGAGACATGAGTGAGAAAATGGAGAAAGCCATGTGAAGCTCTGGAGGAGCAGGGGCCCAGGCAGAGGGAACAGTGAGTGCAAAGGCGGTGCAGCCGCACCAGCAGTGGCTCGGGGAACGAGAAGTAGAAGGCACTGCAGCCAGAGCACAAGGAGCAAAATGGAGTGACCAGCCCACATGAACAGCCGTCATTCAAGACCATGGTTCTCCTGTTAGCTAAACACTGCAACCATCTGGAAAGCTTTTAAAAGTACTGACACCTGGGACCCACCCCCAGGGTGTCCGTTTAATTGGTCTGAGGTGTCACTTGGGCATCAGGAGTTTTAAAGTTTCCCAGATAATTCTAATGTGCAACTGAAGCTGTTAACCGCTGACAAGCCCATGAGGGCCATAGCAAGGCACTTGGATTGGTGACAATTGAGGTTCTTGAGGAGTCTCAGAGACATTTCTCCAGTACTTCAAGCCCAGATCCAAAAAGATCCTGAGAGGCCTTGGAGTTGGGGATAAGCCAGGACAATGAAGGAAAAGAGATAACATGAGACTGAAAAGAAGGTCAAGAGAGGCAGAGACATCCAGAAAATATGACAAACTGGAAGGTGCAACAACACAGAAGTGCAAACAGACTCAGAGAGTCAGAGACTGGAGGAGAAAAGGCAATCTTGTGTATTAGTTTCCTATTGATACTGTAACAAATTACCACAAACTTAGGAGCTTGAAACAATACACATTTGTTACTTTATTATTCTGTAGTTCAGAGTCTGAAATGGGTCTTACTGGGCAAAAATTAAGGTGTCAGCAGTGCTAGGTTCCTTCTGAATGGTCTGCTAGAGAATCCATTCCCTCGTCTTTTGCAGCTTCCAGAGGTTACCCACTTCCTTAGCTTGTGGCTTCCTGCCTCAGTCTCCAAAGCCAGCAATGTCAGGCCGATCACTTCTCATGCTGCTATCTCTCTATGCTACCTATCAGAGCATAGAAGTGCATCTTTTACAAAATAGATTTCAGTCACAACTGTAGTCTTATGCTTGGGTATCTGTGTGTTTTATGAGCACTGAGCCGGGAGGGTTGTTCCAAGATGAATGTACGTGTGTTTGTTTGTGTAGGTTTGTTTATCAGGGTGTCATATTTGAGTGTCTCCCCAATAAGTATGGGGGAGGCAGAAGAAGAGTGCCTGGAGGGGGTGCCTAATAAAGTCCTGCTGCTCCATAAAGACTTACTGCTGTTATACTGTTATTCTTATTAATAATAAAACTGATGATAGAGTATCTGTCTCTTTGCCTGTTTTCTTTGAGCATGTCCGTCTGTTCCTAAATAATACTGGACATTTATCCCAGTGATATTCAATGCATATGAGGCTATTCATACACATTATATTTAGCTGTGATGTTTGTATTACATGAATGCTTCTGTCTGCAAGTTTGTGCACATTTGGGCATTTGGACACTGATGGATGCAGACACATGTTATATAACAGTGTGGGTGATCATAGTTGTAGACATCTGGATGTTTACTTATGCACAAACCCCCATGAGTATCCAGTTAGCTAGGCCTGGCATTGGAAGGGTAGAGAAGCTAGGAAGAGGAGGGAGCAGGGAGGAAGAGGAGAGGTGGGGAGAGGAGCAGGTAAGGAGAAAAAGAGAGAATGGAGGTGAGGAATGAAGGCACAAAGGAACACCAGAAAAAAATCAGGAAGCAGGAGGGGGTCCCAGGGATCTGCAACTGAAAAAGGCAGGGTTGACTCACAGCAAGAACACAAGTCAGAAGACCAGGGTAGGGCTCCACTTCTGGTCATTCCCTTGCTATGTGACCTTGGCTATTCCAGTTCTCTGGGCCTCTGTGAACTACCAGAGTTGAAATAGATAATACCGGGTACATTCCAAAGAAGGAAGGAAAGAGAAAACTGGTAATAAAATCACACACGGGGAAAAACAGAGAGAAAGAACCAGAAAGAGAGACTTACGAAGAAAGTAAGGAGAGGCCCTGGGAGCTGGCCAGAGGTAGAGCTGAAAGAGCTCTGCCCCGACTCCCTGAGGCCGAAGTGTGGGCGCCTGCTCCCCACCCCTTACCCCAGAGCTGCAGAATGCCCTTAAGCCCTTAATAGGTAAGGAAGGAAGATGGAAAGGCGAGAGGCACCAGGAATGAAAACCACACATCAACACTCAGAGGCTTGCCAAAGCCACACAAACCAGGATCTGTGCTTCCGGCCCCCAGCCCCCAGATGTAGGTGTGCCAGCCACCTGGAATGACTCGCACCTTGGCAATGTGGGCGCACATGCCAAGAGTGAGCCTGGGCACCCGGCCCATGCGCGTACCACAGGCGGAGGGGAAGGTAAAATTGGGGCTCTTCGGGGGGTCACAGGGGGCTACCCTCCCCACACAGGGCTACCCCGCCCCAGAGCGCCCTCTAGTGACCGCCTCCTAGGCTCTGGGAACCAGGTGTGCTATTCTCCCCTCCCTGCTCCCCCAAACCTTACCCGGGAAGCAGGAGAACCAGATGAGGCGTTACGCAAGGCCTGGTGTTTACCTCCCGTGGGAGCCTCCTCCCTCCCTATAAAGCCTGATGTGGTGGAGAGATTTGACGAGACTGAGACTCTGGTTGAAGAGAGAGGCAATCCCAGGAGAGGGGCGGAAAGCGGCAAAAGTTAATGCGGGAGTCGGAGAGAAGGGCATCTACACAGCAAGCAGCAGGGGCGGCCCGCCATCTGCGCGCTCGAAGGCGGTCACGGTGGTCGCGGAAGGGGCGGCGTCCAGATCCTGGCTTTCCATGGATGCGCCCGAGCTGGGCCCGGGGCTGGTGGAGCGTCTGGAGCAGCTGGCGACGTGTCCTCTGTGCGGGGGCTCCTTCGAGGACCCGGTGCTTCTGGCGTGCGAGCACAGCTTCTGCCGCGCGTGTCTGGCCCGCCGCTGGGGGACTCCGCCGGCGACCGGCACCGAGGCTTCCCCCACCGCCTGTCCCTGCTGCGGCCTGCCGTGTCCCCGCCGCAGCCTGAGGTCTAATGTGCGGCTGGCGGTGGAGGTGCGAATCAGCCGCGAGCTGCGAGAGAAGCTGGCTGAGCCTGGGGCCCGTGCGGGGAGACGCCGAGGGGGGCGCATCCCCACCATGGGCTGCCTGGACCTGCCCGGAGAGGTGAGGCTGGGCGCGCGTCGCGGAGTTGTTGGTGGAAGCGGGAGGTTCCCGGGGAAGCCGGGAATGGCACGTCTGGAGCCGGAGGCCCTGTGGAAGTTTAGGCAAAGGATGGGGTGGGGAGAGAAAAGCAAAGGATGAGGGGGCGAGGACCCTGGGTCCTCAAGGTGAGAGGCGCCCGGAAGGACGATGGATGGAGTTGACACTTGGTCCACAGGGGAGGAGGCTGGACCGATGCCTGAGCCTTGTGAGAGGGGCTGGAGAGAAGAGACTGGGGAGGCAGAGAAGGGGTACCGGATAGAACGCGGAGAGCCCTGGAGTCGCCGCGAAGGGCATGGGAACTGCAGAAGTTTTGGCAGGGCAGCCGCAGGCGCCCGGGAGGAGGAGAGCTGGCGGAGGGGAGGGAGCGGCGGGCGGAAGGGAGAGCCGACCCAGCTGAGGGTGAGGAGGGGTCCTGGGAGGATGGTGGGCGAGGGCAGAACCTGCTTAGAGGAGCGGGAGCAGGAGGCTGGGCTGGTGGGTTGGGGGCGGAGAAAAAGCTGGGGAGGAGGGGACTGACAAGAGGATGGAGGAAGGGAGCAAGGGGTTGGGGCATATCCAAACCTCCCCGTAGCGTCGTGGGGGTTGGTCTCGGACTCTGGCTCAAGCTAAGCCCTGTGTTGTTTGTTATTGTTATTTCGGCTCCTCCCAAGGCCCCAGGCAGGAGCGGCCAGGGGTGGAGGCGAGGTGCGGGAGAACAGCCGCTGGGGCCTCTGGCTCCTCTCCACATCCCAGTCTTACCACCCATCTACCCCCCGCGCCTCTCCTGGGCCCCGGCTCCTTGGCCACTAACCAGCCCATTCCCTTGCCCGACCGACCCCTGGGCGTCTGGGACTCCTGACTGGCTTCTTCCCAGCAGCCAAGCTGGTCTTGGGTCTTGCTTCTGCCCTTTGAAGTCTTCATAGACCTAATTAGTCTGAAAGTAATTGGCACAATTATGCAAATTGTTTCTCTCTCCCCCGCTCCACCATATCGGCCTGCTCCAGCCATCAGCACTAGACAGTGAAGTGGAGGGGTCGGTATCCCAGTGTTTGGAGGGGAGCATCCAGTGCCCTCTCCTGGCTCCCATAGTACTCTGTGGATCTGCTGGGCCTTTTGGGACACATTCAAGTCTAGCTGCCTCCCTGGCCAGGGTCCAGAGACACAAAGCAAAGGGCCCAATAAATGCCACTGGGCTTTTATTGCAAGAGGGGAAGCAGCTTTATTGTAAGGCTTTTATATACCAACTCTTAGCCCGAGGGCTCTGGGTGTGTGTTTGGTCTGTGTGATGGAGGGAGGAAGGGACAGATGTTTTTCTGGGATGCACTGGGGAAGGTAGATAAGGATGGGGCCGCTGAAAGAGACAGAGAATGGGACTGAGGAGGCAGCAAGGAAGGCAAGGGCTCTGAGGACAAGAAACAGTCACGGACGAGCCTGGGAAAAGAGAATTGAGAACCCTTGGGGAGTGGAAAGGGGGAGGACAGTGGGGATGGAGTTAGGAGGATGAGGGAAAAGTGATGGGGTGAGAGGAAGGAGGGATCATGAAAGGTGAAGGAGGAGAATGAGAGGGAAAGGAGCACAGTGTGTAAAGAGGTGAGATCACTCTGAAAGGTGAGGAGGGACACTGCTAACTCAGACAGAACTCACCTGAGGAGGGGAGAGATAGGGAAGGATGCCCCAGGGAATGAAGCCCAGAGCTCACATCCATGTTTGTTTCTGCCCATCCTAGGATATGAGGAAGACATGGAGACGGTGAGTTCCACTTTTCTGTTCCCTCCTTTTCTCACCAGCTGCCATAGCCATCACGTTCTCACTGGGCCCACACCTTTGTTCCCATTAATAGGCAGGTTTTCTGGGGTATAGTCTCATCCCTTCTTCCTCCAGAGATGTGAGTGGGGTATGCGTGGGGGCATTAGGATCAGAGGGCTGATTTCCTGACCCTTCCCCTCATCTGTGTAGATTTGAAGTCCCAACATCCAAGTCATCTAATTCAGAGGATGATCTCCCTGAAGATTATCCAGTGGTCAAAAAAATGCTTCATAGACTGACAGGTAAGGAAAGAAGAAGGGAGGGAAGGGAATTGAATGAAAGTCTGTGTTAGATTTTCTTCCTTTTAGCCCTAAAAAGTGATCAGGTCCTTTTTGATGTCTGCATTAGTTTCCTAGTACTGCTCTAATGAAGCACCGCAAAGTAGGTGGCTGAAACAACAGACATTTATCTCAAAGTTCAGGAGGTAGAAGTCTGAAATCAAGGTGTCAGCAGTGTTGGTTCCTTCTGACGGCCATGAGACAGAATCTGTTCCATGCCTGTCTCCTAGCCTCTGGTAGCCTCACATGTTCTTTGGGTGATAGGTCTGCACATTTTCTTTTGTATGCATTTGTTTCTGTGTCCAAATTTCCTCTTTTTGTAAGTCAGCAATCTGGATTAGAGCCCACCCTAATGACCTTCATTTTAACTTGATTACCTATGTAAAGATCCTGTTTCAAAACAAGGTAACATTCTGAGGTTTGGAGGACTTCAACCTATCTTTGTGTGTGTGTGTGGAGTGGGGGAGGGCACAGTTCAGCCTATAACAATGTCTATCCTCGATTCCTCATATTCCAGCCATTTTCCCTCTTCCTTTTTCATACATTCAAACAACAGATCCCTGAAGGTTAGGTGCCTCTCAAAAATCTCTGCTTCCACCACCTCTCATCACTCCTCCCTGGAAGGGGACCCCAGCATCTCCTTGACCCTTCTTTCCTCACTCACTCCCAAGAAGAAGGGTGCCTCTACCCTTCTTTAAACTGCCTAGAGAAGGTGGTCCACCATCTTGGTCATCCACCATCTTGCCCAGTCCAGATTGCTTCTGACACCCCTAATCCAGAAATTTTTCTTCAAAGCACCCCATACATATAAGGTCAATGGTTCTTTTTCTGGTCTCTGGCTATCACCACCTGCTCTCCTCCTCTGCCCCACAACCCCTACAGAAATAGGACTGTCCACCCCACCCCCCAATTCCTGTGGGTGGGTGGGCTGGTTTCTCAGGATACCTTGGATTCCTCCCTGTGCCCCTCCCATTACTTGAGGTTCCAGTATCAGTACGACTTTCTCTTTAGATGAACCTTCCCCATTTTGCTGACCCAGCTCCCATGCCCCACCCCAGATGATGCAGATTGAGGTATCAGTCCTTACTCCTCCCTCGAAGTCAGATCAGCCTCACTCTTCCTCCCCCAACCCCACAAACGAGACAACCTCTCATTTGATCTTCCTGCTGTGCTCCCTGCACTGGGCCAGTATGATCCTTCCCCAGGTCCAATTCTACAGAAGTGGTGCATCAGTACAAGGTCTGATATTGCCCAGGTCTGCTCTTCATATGCCTTCCTTCTTTTTGGTCCTGCAGTCGCCTTTTGAGCTGTTGTGTGGTCACTAGCTCTCAGTCTTTTACGTGATCTTCGTTGACTATTCTCCACCCTACCCCGCCTGTGATTTAGAAAACTCTCTCATGAGGTCCTCTCCCTGCCTCCCCGTCTCCAGCCGACCTGACCCTGGACCCTGGGACCGCACACCGCCGCCTGCTCATCTCCGCCGACCGCCGCAGCGTACAACTGGCCCCACCAGGGACGCCCGCGCCCCCTGACGGCCCCAAGCGCTTCGATCAGCTCCCAGCTGTGCTGGGTGCGCAGGGCTTCGGGGCCGGCCGCCACTGCTGGGAGGTGGAGACTGCGGACGCCGCCTCCTGCAGAGACTCTTCTGGGGAGGATGCGGACGACGAGGAGAGCCACTATGCAGTGGGCGCGGCCGGGGAATCAGTGCAACGCAAGGGCTGCGTAAGGCTGTGCCCTGCGGGGGCCGTGTGGGCCGTGGAGGGCCGCGGCGGCCGCCTGTGGGCCCTCACGGCACCCGAACCCACCCTGCTGGGCGGTGTTGAGCCCCCGCCGCGGCGCATTCGCGTGGACCTGGACTGGGAGCGGGGCCGCGTGGCCTTCTACGACGGCCGCTCACTCGACCTGCTTTACGCCTTCCAGGCGCCTGGCCCCCTGGGGGAGCGCATCTTCCCGCTGTTCTGCACCTGCGACCCTCGTGCTCCGCTCCGCATTGTACCAGCGGAAAGCTGAGTCTCGTCTCCAACTAGAAGTTTGGCCCGGCCACTGGCCCTGCAGCTGCTTTTTGGGGGTGGAATTCCCCACTCATTTCTGGGAACACATTCACACGCCCATTGCAGGAGTATTAATAGCAACCCACATTTTCGCCCCAAAATAATGAGACCTCACCTGGTCTCCACGTTTCCACGTCCCTGCTCAAAACCAAATCCATTCCTGCCTTCTGGCTCTCAGAATCTTCTCTCCCCTACAGCTACTACAGTACTTCCTGACTTCTCCCATTCAAACCATTCTAGGCCTGCAATGGGGAACAGGCCCTCCCCATCAGTATTGGTAAAGTGACCATGATTCCTACATAGAGGCTCTGCTGGTCAAATACTTGACTCCCACTCTTGCCACTCCTAGCTCCAGAAGGGCTCAGGGCCTTCCCCACAGATCTAAGGACTGGGCTACCCTGCCTGTCCACTGAGGTTTCTCCTAAAACAAGAGGCTTGACTCTGGTCTGGGCCCTGTGGCCCTCTGGGAAGCTTTGTACCTCTTTTGCAGGATCTGGGGGTGGGGAGGGACAAGCTAGTTCCCCAACCTCCTATGACTGCTTTCTATGCTCACAGCCTTTTTTCCATAAGAACCTTCTTGAAACTTCTCCCCGCACATACTCACGGAAAGGAACCAATGGTGCTATTTCCCCTCTCTCCTCCTCAACCTGGGAATACTTCAGACATCTCCAAACTCATCCTTGTGTATAGTCTCACACCCTTCCCCATAAGTATAAATGGGCCCATATTTAACACATTTTGTGATTTTGGGTTATTTATTTTGTGCATCTGTGGCAATAAATGAGATCTCAGTGGTGGTATGGATTTGACTGATCTCTGTAACTGTGTATGGCAAAAGGACCGGAAAATGAAAACCAGATCCCAGTAAGGGGTAGAGAGGGGCCAAGAGAACTGAACATCTGGGCTGCCGGAGAAATCAAAGTCTAGGAAGTAAGAGGTAAGAGTGTACTACAGGGGACATACCCCAATCTCTTTGCTCCCTCCCTCTTCCTTCCTCTCCCAGAGACCCAGGTCCCTGGGACTATATTGGATCTGTCTCTGAAGCTGAAAAACAAAAGGCAGAGGAGACAGTCGGCTCTAAGTGACCAATCTCAAGCCAGCTTTGTCAGAAATCCTAAATAACAGGAGAAGGGTGGGAAGAAAGGATATGATTATTTCTTATTCCATTTTCCATAAGAGGTGAGAATGACAAGGACCTCTTTTCTAACTCCTCTTGAGGGTGTGAGAAGGGTTAGCAGGAGGAGAAGGGCTGGGAGCTCTGAGGTCTCCTGTAAGACCTCATATCTCACAGGCAAGGACTAAGAATTAGGATTAAATATTTTAGTGGGATAGCTCTAAACCAGGATTAGCAAGCAAAGTTAGGGCGCAAATTCCTGGAATCTGACTGGGACCCTGGCAGTGAAAGCTGGGACTGTTGAAAACCCAATTTAAGTGTTCGCTACTCATGTTGAGAGTGCAGGGCCAAGATAACTAGATCCCAGGACAGGCAGTTTGGCAGTGAGAACAAAAGGAAGACACTGGGACCAAGGTGCCTAGATCCCTCGAGAGAGAAGGGTGGGTATTGGGAGGAAAAATGAGGACTGGGGAAACCCAGGAGGCTGGGTTCTGGAATAGCAGCAAGTCAGAATTTCAGGATCTCTGTTCGTCCTCCTCTTCCTCTTCCCTCTATCAGGCAGAAGAGAGGGAAGGAGGGGGCTGGAGAAGTAGCCACATGGATACATTTAGGGCCAGACAGACACAGGAATGCTGGAGGAGAGAGGGATTTAGTGCTGCATTGGCCCTGGAGGGGGCTGGGAAGGGTCAGGAGGCTGGGGAGGGGTGGTGGGGGTCGGTCCTAGGGTTGCACGACGCCGTCCTTTGCGGTGGCCACGTACACAGTGTGTATGACCACAGCCCTCTTCTTCCTCCTCATCACTTTCCGTGGAGCTCTCGCCAAAGGCCCGAGGTTTCTCATAAATACAGCAGCCTAGATTTAGAGGGAGGAGCCCAGTTAAAGAGGAGGAAGGGTAAGATATATAGTCAGTTCCATTCCCACTCAAACTCAGTGAAAATTCCTATTTTCTCCTACCTTCCAGGATCCAGCTTCCCCAGGCCCACCCTCTGGGACTCAGGCCCCACCCCTCTTGTCCTCTTAGAGAGCCACGAATTCAAAGCCCCACTTCTCCCACCTCTGACACTTCTTGCTGTCAGACCTAGGCAATTCCAGTTCTAGCCCTTCCCTACCTCTTTCCCTGATACCACAGCACCACCAAAAAAGTGACAGAACTATGAACATCTGGGGGCTTCTGGAAAGCCAGTGGATATGAGTAGATACAAGATATGCTGAAGGGAGCCAGAACTCCAGGGCTACTGCGGGCCAACAATTACTCACATTTGGATGAGCGGCGGCCCATGTGTTCATTGTCCACAGTGTCACTTGTCCATTCTACCTTTTTCTCTGGCTTCCGTTTCCGAAGTTTGATGGTAAGGCTCCGGTTCTCCTAGAAGGTTAAGGATGAGCATACCTATCTAGTCCCCTCTTACTAACCTTTCCCACTCCCTCCCAGGGAACCTCCTCTCTTTTCTTCTTTAGCTCAATCAGTACCATAGGCATAGCACCAGAGGAGCTGACAGAAGATAAAACAGAACAGGTCTTTTACCTCAGATAGTCCCTTGAGGAATAAGTATTATTTCCTGTTCTTATACCACCAGTATAAGAGAAGACACAATTCCTAACCTAGGAAAGGTCCCAGCAACTCTTCAAAGGAAAATATAATCCTTGCTGTTTCTCCGTCTTCCTCCCCAAATCATCCTTGGTAGTATTAATACATGAAAATTATTTTTCAGTCCCCAGCACCTAATCTTTGATCTCCCTTCCTTTTTCCAGATCCCCTATTCTTTTTCTCTTAAAAAAACAAACAAAACCTCTCTCATTCTCAAGCTCCAGCCCTCCCTACCTCTTATCCACCTATTCTCTGGCATCCTGGCATCTCTAGTAGCAAGTATTACTAATCTATTAATTACTAAACTTCCTTTAATCCAAGAGTATTAAGCCCAATGCAACCTTCTCCCTTTGAAGGCAACTTAACATGTTTTTGGATAAATACTTCTTGTTTCTCCATTTACATCTTTGCTCTCTGATTTCTCAAAATACCTCTTTTCATCTCCTTTTCTTGTTTCCTCATTCCTGCCACTTCCTTTTACATTCATCCATTCAATAAATATTTATTCGAATATCAATATTGATAATATTGATAAGTTGGCCTCCAACCATGCTTTCTTACACTACCTTTGATTTCCTCCCAACATCTTCCTGGCTCCTTAATCCTCAATTTCCCTTTCGTTTATTACTTACACACATAACCACCCCAAGCAGCAACACCTATATCCTAACTGTACCTCCCTATTACAAGTTCCTTGACCTGCCTCCTGCACCATCTCTGCCACTCCAAATAGCTCCAATACCTTCCGATTCTCCCAGCCCTAGATATTCAACCCCACACCTCCCATATCCCTAGGCCTAGCTCCTCCAACAACTCTTCTAATCCCTGTCCCCTCCCTCCCAGTATCTCCCAGACCCCTAAACAGCACCGCCCCCCCGCCTTTCTCACGGGCTCGGTTGTCACGGTAACCGTTGTCTCAGTGACGGTCTCGCTCAGCCCAGCCCCTGCCTCGGCCATGGCTAAGGCTCAGGACAGGGAGGAGAGGAGGAAGGGGGATGAGACACCCTTCCCTTTTTCTGTCGCTGAGGTCTAAGAGAAGCGGTATCGGATTCAGAGTGGTAGCCAGGATCCTCCACCTTCTTTATTCCCCCTCCTCCTGGGCCTCCGCTTCTCCACCCCTGGGGATAACCTGGCTAACCCCACTTCCGGCTCGCCGCTTCCGGGTGTGACGCATACTGCAGTCCCCCTTTTTCCCTTCCACGGCACCAAATGCGTCAAAGCGCAGGCGTCGCTGGATTAGTTCCGCCGTAACGTGACAGCGCGCAGGCGCTGAAAGAAAGAGAAACAAATTTGGCGGAAGGGGTGTCACTGCGGGTGTGGGTGGAGGAGGGAGAGTCTGGGGCAGCACGCGTACTCACAGCCTAGAGGAAGCAGGAGGGGCGCCCAGATGGGTATTGCCGGGCCAGACGCTGCAGAGTGGGTGTGGCGAGGGCGGAGTTGTGTGCACCAAGCTGAGTCCTGCTGCAGATTTCCGTTTGCCTTGTCTGGGTAGGTGGACCGGCGAGGAAGCTTAAGGAGCAATAGTAATGACCCTACCGTGGCCTATTTCCCTTTCCTTGTTTGGTCTGGGTTTCTCTAAAGAAAACGGGAAGTGGGAGCAGTTGGAAACACACTTAAGAGTCAAGCGATGTGGTTCTACCCCTCGCCCTGTGCCTGTAGGTGTTTGAGCAGTTCAGTTTAGTGCACGTTCAACGTCAGTTTTTTTCAGTCACTGTGCTACGCCTTGAAGATGGAGGCGCGTAAGACGCTCAGACCCTGCCTTTTAGCTCTAGTAGGAAAGACAGGCATGCTGAAAACTAACAAAAATATGAAACACTGGGGCATTAACAAATGCCATGTCTGATTTGTAAATCTGAATGTAGTTACATACTGCCAACATATTCGTTCTCTCTGGGGTGATGAGTAGGATGAAGCAGAGAAATGGTCGTAAATTACAGTATAGGCTATTTTATAAAAATATATGCACGTTTCTTAGAGAGCAAAAGAAAGTGGTAAAACAAGAACCAGGAAGGCCGACAAGTAGGTTTTTTTAGAAGAGCAGCTTAAAAAGTTGTAGATGTGTGCACTACAGGAAATGGAGTTTTGTACCGCTTGGATCTGAGGGAGTGCCAGATGAAGCTTGACAGGTAGGCAGTGGTTATATGGAAGAACCTGTATGCTTTGCTAAGAAATTAAGCTTAATCCAATCACTGTTATGGGCCAGAGAAAGGCTTAAAGTAGGGTAGAAACATGAACAGGTTTGTTTCAGATTTCAGGAGTGTGTCAGGAAAGTCAACTGCCAGAACAGTTCAAACGTACAGTGGGGAAGACTGCCCTGCCCATTCTCCAGGTTGCTGTGGGGGTCAAACAAGATAGCTATGTTTGAGAGCTCTGAATATATATAAAGGGCCACACAATTATATGATAATTATTACAGTAACCCCTTGATCACTATTTGAGCCAAGGAATGCGGGACCTGAGTATGCATTTGTTCCCCTTGAAAGTTTTTAGTTCAAACAGAAAAAAGCAAGATATAGTTCAGCATGTCTAGTCCATTAAAAAAACCAAACACATATATAGCAACACACATATACAGAGCCACATACATATACACAAGCACAGATATACAGTATAATTTGGTTATCTCTGTGGAGTAGGATTCCTTGTGACTTTACTTTTTTCTTTCTTTCTATATAAGAATCTATTATAATAGATATACAATTCATCCTTGAACAACATGGGGGTAAGGGGTGCTGACCCTCTGAACAGCCAAAAATCCATATATAACTTTTGACTCCCCCAAAACTTTACTGTTGACCAGATGCCTTACCAATAACATAAACCGTTGATTAACACATATTTTGTATATGTATTATATACTTATAATACATATAATCTTACAATCAAGTAAGCTAGAGAAAACATTATTAAGAAAATCATAAGGAAAAGAAAATATATTTACTATTCATTAAGTAGAAGTGGATCACATTTTCATGTTGAGTAGGCTCAGGAGGAGGAAAAGGAGGGCTTAAATGTGCTGCTATCTTATGGGTCTCAGAAGTAGAAGAAAATCCACATATATGTAGACTCAAGCAGTTCAAACCTGTGTTGTTCAAGGGTCAACTGTGTATTGTATTTATCTCAATACTAATAAAATACTCACCTATAGTGATCACTTAGTGGCATTACTTAGTATCAGATTTTTTGTTGTCCAAATTTATATGCTAAAGAGATCTGGTTAAAATTTCTGTTAAATGTCTCACTATCCAAATTCCTAGTTTTTCTTAACCTAAACTCAGGAACCAAATAGATTTAAATAGTATGGCAATACTTACAATTGCTTTTTGTTTATATTAGCCTCATTCCTGACTCTACTTTTTTGTCCTAATTTTTCCCCCTTTTCTTTTTCATATAAATATATCTCTGGAAACTCATTTAAATTCCTTTTGGAATAAGACAGATTATAAGTAACATACATATGTCAGGGTCTTATAGAAAAATATAACTTTAATAAGGAAATTCAACTAAGGGTAGGAGTACTCCAGGAACAATGGTAATCCCCACATGATGATCTGATTCTCTTCTGGGAGCAAAACATTGCAACCAGACAGGATGGACAAGGCATCTAAAAACCCAGTATCCTTCACCTTCCGAAAGGAGGGAGGGACTGTAGAGTTGCCCAGGAAAAAGGTCAAGAGTCTTCCTTCTCCTGGAACCTATGAGGAAAGAAAGGACTTGTTATATTCACCAAAAGATGAGTTTCTAGTAGTATAAGATAAGATATGCAATCAAATAATCAAGGAAGGACTTTTATTTATGACATCATTGAGGACTGGCTCCCCTAAACAAACTTCCAATTCTAATTCCAAGACAACTAAAAATTCTGGGATTAAAAATATATCCAATGAGTTATAACCTCAAAGCAAAGATTTCTTAGGACACAGAAAGCACTAGCTGTAAAAGAAAAAAAAAAGGATAAGCTGAACCTTATAAAAACTTAAAACTTCTGCTCATTTAAAGAGGGTTAAGAAAATAGGCAAGCCACACGCTGGGAAAAAAAATCTTCTTTTTATTTAAAAAAAATTTTTTTTTTTTTGGTAAAATGACAACCAGTGATAGGAAAAAAATACTTTTAAAAGATATATCTGACTATGAATATTTTTAATCCTTTGATGAGATGGCAAGAAAGTAAAGGCAATCTGCACACTGGTTAAAAGTTCTGTAAAACCAGAAATCCAGACAGGGAAGTTAAAACTAATGTCCCTATGAAACGTGACAGTGACACTATGGTGCCCTTTATACTGTTTTGACAGTCACTGGAAGCATAGGAAATGAGGGACAAAATGTATAAGGTCTGATAGGAGATCCCGTGCATAAATTTGGGAACTGCAAAAGGCTGCCCTTTCTTGTAAAAGTGAACAAGAAAAGAAAAAATTCAACTCTATAGAAGGGGAATTTGACTGTCTCAGTAGGTAGAAAGAGAGAAAACTCTCTCCTGAGAATTTCTAACTGTAAGCTAGCCCTTACATGGATTTGCAGCTCAAATTCATACTATCTGTCTGCTCCAAAAAACATGAAGCCAAGAATTTATTTAAAGTAATTCCAGCTTGATAGTGCTTCAAGGCACCTAGAAAAGAAACACAAATGCTGAGAATACAGCACTCGCCCAAGGCCTCAAAGAATTCCTACAGTTCAAGTTCTAAAAAACTCGAATTTATAGTCAAAAATCACAAAACAAAGAAAAAAAGCACTATGAGAGAGACAGCAGAAACAAAAGACAGCAGCATCAGACACACAAAATCCGCAGATATCAGAATTATAAGACATAGAATATAATAACCATATTTAATATTTTAAATATATATTTAAAGAATAATAAAAGGAACAATTTAAAATATGATTAAAGAACTGATAATTATTTAAAAATTAAGGAGATTTGAAAAGTAATTAAATAGAACTCAAAATAATAACAATAGTAAAAAATAATAATACTTGAAATAAACTGAAGACAGAATTAGTGACATGGAAGAGGGACCTGAAGAAATTACTCAGAAGGTGGCATAAAGAGAACAGCAATTGAAAATATGAAAAGAAGGTGAGAGAAATGGAGGACAGAAGAGAGAAACCTCTTTCTAGTAACTAATTCGAGGTCCAGAATGTGAGGACTGAGAACATGGGGGAAAGAGAATATTAAAAGAGATGATGGCTGATAATTTTCCAAGGTTGATGAAAAAAAAGTCCACTCTCAGTTTCAGAAAGTCCAACAAATCCCAAACAGAATAAAAGAAAATCGTATTTTGATATACTATAGTGACTGCAGAACACCAAAGACAAAAATGAGGTCTTAAAAGCATTCAGAAAGCCCATGTTCTCTAAGTCATGTGTGACTAATTCTCTCCAAAGAAAGCTACCTTGACTGCGGTTGAAGACTGCAGTATAAGATGCTGACCACTAAACAATACCTGCTTCTTATGTTGTTTTTTTTTTCTTCATTTCCTTTTAAATATCCTAAAAGTAGGTCAGGCGGGGTGGCTCATGCCTGTAATCCCAGCACTTTGGGATGCTGAGGTGGGTGGATCACTTGAGCTCAGAAGTTCAAGACCAGCCTGGGAAACATAGAGAAACCCCATCTCTACTAAAAATACAAAAAAAAAAAAAAAAAAAAAAAAAAAAAGCCAGGCGTGGTGGCATGTGTCTGTGGTCCCAGCTACTTTGGAGGCTGAGGTGGGAGGATTACCTGAGCCCAGGAGGCGGAGGTTGCAGTGAGCCAAGATTGCCTCGCTGCACTCCAGGCTAGGTGACAGAGCGACACCCTGTCAAAAAAAAAAAAAAAAAAAAAAAATCCTAAAAGGTTTATTTCACTGGTTATAAAAAGGTTTAAAAAAGTGTAACTTAAAAAAATAAAAAACAACTACAAATCTCCCTATTACCAGAACTGCACAGAAATAAGGGATGGGACCAAGGGAAACGGCCATTTCGTACAAAAAAATAAATCACTGGATTTGTTTAGTTAGCAAACAGACTGAGCAGAGGGAGGGGAAAGAATACCCACTTGCAGTTGGTACAGGTGTAGAAGACAGTTTGCCCTTCATCGGCTGAACGCATCTGTCTGGTGTGGTATGCCATTCCTTCATGACCACATCGAGGGCAGCGCCTGTCAACCTGGGAAGAAACTGGTGGGTTAGGGAGGCCTGGTCATATCCCCTTACTTCCCACAGGAATCAGGCGATCACGCCTCTCAAACGTCGATGGTTTACATCTCTTTTCCCTCTTGGAATTGGGCACAAAACTCTCCAGAGCTTTGCAATCACTCCTCCATTTCTTTCCTACCCACCTTATGGAGCCAGTTCTTGATCTCATTAGCTTACCACAGGTCCCTGGCACTCAGGCCCTTCCTCCACCGACATAGGCATGGCTGTCCCCAGTTGGTGGAACACAACCGAAGTCTTCACAACCTTCCCCTCAAAGTCTGCACAGGCAAGTAAGAACTGGTTATGGAGACAACCAGAGAGAGCTGACACCGGAAACCTCCCCTTTCCCCTGGCTGGTTAGGCCAGGAGGCCCTACATCCTTTCCCTCAGTTTTCATCGCTAGACCAAATGTACAACCGCCTGATGTCCTGCTCTAGGATCCCCTCCTCAACCCAACCGATCTTGAGTTCCCCAAGCTTCCGACCCTGCGCCCTCCGCCAGGACCCCTGCGTACAAGCCTCTCACCCCGAACGTTGATGTTGAAGCCACAGCGAATACAGGTGACCGTATCCTGAGCCCCGGGCAGAGGCAGGACCGAGCCGCAATCTGAACAGAAATCCAGGTCCGACTGAAAGCTGGAGCAAGTATTGGCGAGGTCCATGACAGACATGCGGTCGGGTCTGAGGAGGGAGTTGGAAGTTTATTAACAAAAGAGAGAAGAGTTCCTGTCCCAGAGGTCGTAACTATTCTGTCCCAGGACCTAGGAGTATATAACCCGAACCCTCCTGCCACGCACGCCTCCTGCCTCTGCGACCAAGGAGCCGAAACGCCCGGAATTCCCAGACAGCGTCGGGTACTAAAGGACTTGGAACCCTTTCCAGGGGCCGGTGAGAGGAGTTAACCAACTCCGTGGGCTAGAGCGCCAGCTCTGCGCCCGCGGCGGGGCAGCGAGATAGAGCCGGCTAGAGCGTCAGGCTTTCGCGTTGACGATTGGCTGTGACGTCATAATTAATTGCGAACCGTGTCTCGGGAGCGTTAGAGATGGAGACTAACGTCTTCCAAGGGAGATTGCGTCTCCACTTTCACCCTGGTACTGAGAGGTTGAGCACAAAATTGGTAACCAATGCTGCGCTTCCAGCAAATTTTCCCACCAGCACCCAATCCTGGGATACTTATTCTCTTTGTCTCACATCCTACAGGAACGCAGTCGCGGGGTATATCCCCCTGAAAACCGTACGTTGCCAAATAATGATTTCTTTGGATTAGAGAACTACAACTCCCCTGGGTCCTGAGCCGGTATTTCCCTTTTGCGGCTGCACCGTAGTTAAAAACAAAGCTAAGTGTTCTGGGACGTATAGTTCTAGCGTTCCTTGGGTCCCGCTGGCGAGCGTGGGCTTTCTGCAGCTCGCAACCGGCCTCGTGCTTTGCGGACGGTTCACTGCGCTTGGAAAGGGGTGAGTCGGCTTTTTGAGGGACAGCAAGTGGTGAGAGTGAAGGCCCGAGGAATGCTTAGTCCCACGGGACGAAAGGAAGCAGGGATGAAGTGGTACACTTGAGAAGGGGTTCAGGACTTTGGAGGTGGTGGAACAGAGGAGCTTGGGGCTTCCTCTCCTTCGACTCCTGCCAGATAAGTGAGGCTAGCAGTAGTCAAGAAAGCTCATTAAGTAGGATTTCATAAGACTTAGGTCGAGTTTGGCTTTTAGTTGTGCCTGCCGCCTATCGAACTCTTAATTCATTATGTCATCCGTTAAGTGGACAGCTGACATTTCCCTGATCTTTTATAAAACATGAGAATAAGTATCTTTGGGAAATCTTTCTATTTTCATTAATCTGTAACTTATATTCCAAGTAGAAACTTTCCCTGAAGGGGCAGCTTGTAGTTGTTTACTAGTTTCCTGCTAGCCCTCCCACCACCATCCACTCTGATAGCTGTGCTAAGTTCATTCATATAAAAGTTCTGGAGCCATCACTGTTTTCTCCTATGAAGGACACAAGCTGTAGTCTTTTCGCTGGGAGAGGCTCCCATCTGCCTTTCTCTGTAATAATGGAGAGAACGCCATAGTGAAAGGGTTAAAACTCAGCAAACTGCTGAAGAGTGACAAGCCCTATCACTTAACTGTGAAATTGCTTGTTATTCTGTCTTACAAAGGGAGACGTGTTGTTGAGCTGATTGTCGTAGACAGTTTTTATTCTCACTTATCTGTGTGTCTCCTTTGAAAATGGAACTTGAAATTCTACCCTCCTCAGTTTTCTGTTTTTAATTTGAAAAACAGCCAACATCCCCTGTGAATTGCAGTAAAGGAACAAAGCATTAAAAGGCATATCCTTTTCCCAACAAAAGCTCACAGTCTAATCAGTAAAGATTTATTGAGCAACTATGCCAGGTTTTGAGCTGAGGCTGAGCCTGCAAAGTTGAAATCTGTGTTCTCTGACCTCAAGGAACATGAATGAATAATTAGAATATAATAAAACTGTGCTAGTAGGTACAAAATGTGAGAGCCCAGAACATGCATATAAAGCAAACATATCTGTAAACTTCAAGGAAGACTGGGAAATGGCTTAATAAAAATAGATACAATGTTATGGCAGATATTTAAAAAAGATGCTCAGATATTATGTGTCAAGGATCATCAGCAATCAGCAAATCATTAATTTTGAGAACTTGGGATCACAGACTCTAATGTTAAGTATTGTGCTAGAAGCCATGTACAGAGAAGTAAAAGTAAGATGATCATACGTTTACAATCTCAAAATAAGCTTACGTAGACAAATAAGAATGTTCCTAAGAGGTCAGTGAGACCAAATATTTGATATCAGATCCTTTCCAACAATATAGAGGCATCATATTTGTAGATATAAATTACAGTTTTCATTCCTTATGAGCCTAAATTTCAGCATCAAAATGTTAAAAGTGATATGTGAATACAGATATCACAGTGTAAACCACGATTAATTTTCAAATGAGTTGTAGAATTAAAATATGTCAAGTATTTAGAGGAAGGGAAGATCACTGACAGAGTAGACTGGAAAGACTTTATAATCAGGAGCTTGACCTGTGAAGGACAGATAGATAGAATTTATTGAGAACTTACCAAGCTCTTTACATCTAATTCATATTTGTTCTTTATAACCCTGAGAGGCAGATTTTTGTCTTACATCTCCATTTTATAGATGAGAAAGCTGACAGAAGTTACTTGCCCTGAGTCACACACCTAGGAAGTGGTAGAATTAGATTTCAGATCTAGCTCTGTCAGACTGTAAAGACCATCCTTTGAACTCTAAATGGTATAAAAGACATACAGAGGAAATGCCAGGCATCCTCAGTGGCTTAAATACGACATCACAGTAAACTCAGGCTAGACCAGGGATGACACATAAAAGATGATAGTTTTCATTTGTGTTGCCATCAGCCTCCTCTATAAATAAACCCAGAGTAACCACAAATTGCCATCCTGAGGGGTTCAACAGGGAATAGTCTCATAATGGATTTAGAGTGAAGGATGATTGGCATTGTTAGTCAGGCAAGCAGAGGGCTGAGCAGTCAAATAACAGAATTTCAGAACAAAAGATTAGAGGGCAGAAATGCTGTATGTGCTGATAGAGTCAGAGAGGGCCCGGATCAAGAAACTGCAGGAAGAGAAAACTAGAAACCTAGAATCGTCTAGAAAACTAGAACCTACAATCGTCTCAGAACACAAAGGAGGCTTGAGGACTGAGCAGACTGACATAGATGTACTTGGACAACACCTCACCAAGGAGCATGTCTCTTCCCACTCACAATCCCCAATACGAGATTCACAGTGGTTCACGCTGAGTCCACAGGAAAAGTATGCTTGTTCATATGAAAGGAAAGATCCTCTTATTAAAAGAGCATTCATTATTTTCTACCATAGGAATGCAGTGGTTTCCCATGGGGGAAATGGCCCTGCTGTAGTCCTCCCTATTAGCAGATTTGTTCTGACACCTCCTACATTTGAATCTACCTTGCCTTTTTTATCTTCCAGATTGGCCTGGGGTACATCATCTAAAGATCCTAGGATTGCTGCAGGTCAGCAGTCTCCACTGGAAAAAAAGATCTTGGTAAGTAAATTATCTTCACATCATACAGTTTGGAACTACACAGAGAAGGAATCTTAGGTTTAAAATCCTTCTGCCCAAGTGACACATTCAGGTAGTATGTCTACACTGGCAAATGTTACCCAGCTATATCCACAGTTGCAAAACAAAGTATCATTTTTGGAAACTTCCAACACCATACATTTTTAAACCTAGTTACTGATTTGTGGTGGTGAGTACTTAATACTTTCAGAGCTCCCAGGCTCACCTGGGAGTGATGGGAATAAAATAACAACTAAGCTAAAGTAAAGAGCATGTAGCTTTTCCTGGTGTCATTAGGGAGGGTGGGCTTGGCTCCTGTTTAAATGTGTTCAAAGGAAAAAGATGATCACATTATAAATTTCTGACTTCACTTTGACAGAATCTAGGTGGTGTGCATACAACAGCAGCAAGACAGTTGATAATGCAGAAATATCAGGAGGAGTGTGAAATACTCTGTAGGGAGCAAGCTGTTTCTCTTGACTACTGGCTTGCCAAAGCAGAGTCTTATTATAATAAAATAATAGTGGAAATGATGAAAGAAGAGACAGGCAATGAAATCTAGAAAAAAATGGAGGAGAAAACAACCCAGAGCGTAGAAGGACTAAAACAGTACTGTTTGGTACCTGAGAGAGAGATGAAACACATAGAAAGGCACATACATCAAACAGGAAAGGCTGGAGAATTTAAGAACAAACCATTTAGACAAGTACTACAACCCCCCAATGAAACAAAATTACCAAAAATTATGCCAGAAGGGCATGGCATCCAGAACGCACAGAGAAGAAAGCAGGTAAATGAGAGGGAACAGATGCAGACTAAGGATCACCAGGAACGCATGATTCGAGGGAGAGAACTTGCAGAACAAAGACTCAAGGAGAGAATCTTGAGAAGAAGCCAGAGCCAGCTACTTACATATGAGAAGCATGAGAGAGTAAAAGAGATAAAGGAGTTTGAAAGAGTTATTGCGTATCTTCTTTTCCAACCATGCAGTAGAAGTCGGATTAAAGTGAGTATTCTTATGGATAAGTCTCAGAATGGAGAGAAGGTGAATACAATTGTGAAACCATATCAAAGAAAATTCTTGGCAATGCCACCCTTTTTAAGAAGTCAAATAGGAAAAATAAGAGATTAAAGTTTCAATGCTGTTATGATAAAATCATATCTCTTAAGTGAACCCTTTTTTTTTTCAAATGCTCATTCTCTCCAGGGTTCAGTGAATATTCCCATTTGTATCAGATACAGATAGATAGTTCTGCACTTGAAAATTAGCTTAACTTTTTTAGTTGACTTGCATTTGTTCAAGTTGCATATCCTTTCTAGTGTTCAGTGTCCTCATCTTTAAAATGGCAATAATATTTGATGGCATTTATGGAAGGACTGTTTTTTTTGTGAAGTGTAGGTATGTATTAGTTGTTTCATAAATGTTAGTTTCCCCACTTGGAAAGACCGGGGTTGGGCAATGGTGGTGAATAAAGAATTGTTCTAATCTACTTCTCTTATTCTCCCTGTTCCCAGCCCTCCAAGGTTATTTTGATGAGATTGCTATAGTTTAGTATATGGTCTTTAATATCATACCTTCATCAGATAACTACTAGCCAGCCCCTAAAAGTGTAACTTGCTCTGTACAATTTATTTGAATGAGAAACTTAATTTTGAGAGCCTCCTACATGCTAGGCATTATGTTAGTTACTGAAGGTGAATAAAGAGAAGTCTCTGCCCTTGAATAATTTTCAACTAATGGCATAGATCACTCTATAAACAGATAATGTAGTAAATAAAGGTTACAATAGAAAGGTACAGGGTGCTTTACAAAGGACGGATTCTAACCTGGCCCAGGTGAGCAGGGTGAAAAGGAGGAAGGTTAGGGAAGGGAGTATTATAGTCTGTCATGTTTCTTCCAGCTTTTTTTGTCACTTCCTATCACCCACTTAAGCAAGACCTTCCTAATGCTTGGATCCACTCAGGGATAATCAAACTCAGCCTTTCTCAAACTCATGTTTTTGGCGCTCATTGATAAATCAGAAAGCAAATTTATAAATTTAGTGAGAATTACAGTTGTCAAGCAGAATGAAATTTGTGTTTTCTAGTCAGTTTATTTTCTTCCCAGATACCAGAAAGTTGGGAAAGCAGGGGTTCAGAGTTGGTAAGCAGAGAAGCAAATAAATGGAAATAGATGCCCTCAGGAATATTATGCTTAAGTTGTGATAATTCTGATGCCCACCTTGCTTTACTAGCAGAACACCCTTTACCCTGGATACTGCTAGGTCAGCCACTGATACAAATGTTCTGTGTCTGTGCTCCTCAGTACAGTAGCCCTTGCTACACGTGGCTGTTGAGGCATTTAAAATGTGGCTGGTGCAGCTGTGGAATGGAATGTTTAATTGAATTTCATTTAAATTTAAATTGCCACATGTGGCAAGTGACTACCCTGTTGCACAGTGTAGCACTGGATAAACATAACTTCTGTGTTCTAGATTCCAGTCCCACCATTAGCTTTCTGTTTTTGACAGTGTTTGCTGGTATGATAGGTCACTGTTCATTTTACATTACTATCAGTTTAGTTTCCTTTGCATTTCAGAGGCTCCCTAATCCCTTAAAGAGATTTAAAAATCAATGTAGACCACTTCTGTGTGAAAATAAGATGACTGAATTTGCTTTGATTGGAATTAGGAACTGACCTCTCTTTGCTAGTTCTGGAATTTGGCCAGGATGCACATCAAAATCTCATTCCTACCCTCCTGATTTGCCTCATGGAAACTTCGTTGCTGTGTCTGTTCTCTGGTCCTCTATTGCTATGTCTCAGCTTTAGATTCTATGTTTTGCATAGAAATGGATCATCAGAATGCAACAGGCAGAAGACTTAGAAGTGCAAATCAGTAGGGTAATGACAAGCCCTTTGAGCTGAGTGGGACTGAAAAGTAACCTAACATATAACCTATTAGTAATTGTTTACCATGAAGGTTTTCAGTGCTGGACACATAAATTGCTGAGTTCAACTGCCCTCTTTCCCCTCCAAATCTAGCATAAAAGCAACTGGTGCTCTCAGGGCAATTTCACACCTAATACGGCTAAGAATAAAAGTCTATGTTTCAGGAACTCAGTTTGTCCAAACCTGCATCCATCATCTACCTCAAATTATATCCACCTTTTCATTTCTTTGCACTGTGTCTGCTTAAATCTTGAGTCACACTTAATGTTTTTTTTTTGGTCTTTTTTCTTTTTAATGTGAAATAGAATATACAATACACAAATGAAAATGTATATTTAGAAGAACAATAATAAATGTCCAGGTGCCCGTTGCTCAGACTGAGAAATGGAACATTACTACATCCCAGGAGCCTCGTATGCTCTCATTCATATCTCTCTCCCCTGCAGCCAGAGGCAACCACTATCCTGAATTTTGTATAACTGTCACCTAGCTTTTATAGATTTTACTGTCTGTGTATCCCTAACAGTTGCTTATTTATAGCCTTTATATAAATAGAATTATACTGTATATGACTGACTACTTTTGCTCATTATTATTTTTGGATTCATCCATGTTGATGTGTGACACTGTAGTTCATTTCCATGACATGAATATGCCACAACTTAATTATATATTCTGTTGATGTCATTTAGTTGTTTCCAGTTTTTGTTTTATTTTTCTTTTAAAAATGATACTTAGATAAACATTAACATGTTTAATCTTATGTTCTGGTGACTGTGTACTAGATATATGTATGATATATAAATTGTGGTACATTTATTTGACAGGCCTGATCTTGAAGCCTGTTAGATTTCTGTTCCTTTGTGGCATTATGCCTGTAAGCCTGTTCTGTAGAGTCTGGCACATGTTAGCCTCTTAATAGATATTTGTTGAAAGAAAGGACATTTGTTAACTGCTGGAGACAGGCCCAAAATACATAAATAGCTGATAACAGACCACTTTAGCTTTTTACTCATCTTGTCCAGGTACAATCATAGTCAACCTCTGTTTATGCTTATATTTCAGTTGAGGTACTAAAATATTTGTTTACTTAGTTGGTTTTCAGTGAGCTTCCAGTACAGGATTTGTTTCTCTTTCTGTCACTTTTCCCAAAACTTTCACTCCACTGCCTTCTAGAAAAGATCACCCACATGTCGTCTCCTCAAGGCACCTGCAGCACGAAAGTTTTATTTCTGAACAAAAGGGTCCCCAGAGAAGGAGACAAGGAGTCTCCTTTCAGTACGAGGTTGCTGGAGTCCCTAGAGGGTCAAAGGCTGTGTAATAACAGTTCCTTCTTGTCTGCTGGACAAAAGCTTCTGAGCCCTCAAGCACCCTGTGACTTAGTTCTGATAGAGTACTGAGTTTGGAAATGGCAGAGTGGGGACCCAAAACAAATCTTCCAATTCCAAATTCAGTTTTATCCACCTTTTCAAATAAGATTAAAAAATGTTAATGTCTGTTGATTTGTGTGTGTTGAACCACTCTTGTATCCCTGGGATGAATCCCAATTAATTGTGGTATATTTTTGATATGTTGTTGGATTCAGTTTGCTAAAATTTTGTTCAGGATTTTTGTGTATATTTTCACTAGGAAGATTGGCCTGTAATTTTCTTTTTTTTTTGTATTCTTCTCTGCTTTTGGTATCAGGGCAATGCAGGCTTCATAAAATGAGTTAAGAATAATTCCTTCCTCTTCAGTTTTTTTTAAATATTTTGAGAAGTATTGGTATTAATTTTTCTTTGTATGTATGGTAGAATTTGACAGGAAAGCCATCTGGTCCTGGGCTTTTCTTTATTGAGACACTTTTAATTACTGATTCAGTCTTATTACTCATTGTTGGTCTGTTCAAGTTTTCTATTTGTTCCTGGTGAAATGTCTACAAAAATTACAAAAATTAGCTGGGTGTGGTGGCATGTGCATGTAGTCCCAGCTACTTAGGGGGCTGAGGCAGGAGGATCGCTTGAACCTCAGGAGGTTAAGGCTGCAGTGAGCTGGTATTGCGCCACTGTGTTGCAGCCTGGGTGACAAAGTGAGACCCTATCTCAAAAATAAAAAAAATTCATATGGAACCACAAAAGAGCCCCATCCAATAGTTAAGCTATAGTAATAGCTTTGTAACTGTTATAGTAGAAACCAAATCATCATGGTACCGGCCTAAAACAGACACATAGACCAATGGAAAGAATAGAGAACCCAGAAATAATTTCATATACTTACAGCCAACTGACTTTCAACAAAGGCACCAAGAAAGGACACCCTTTTCAATAAATGGTGCTGGGAAAACTGGATATCCATATGCAGAAGATTGCAGCTAGGCTCATATCTCTTACCATATTAAAAAATCAACCAAAAATGGATTAAAGGCTTAAATGATAGATCCGAAACTATGAAACTACTAAAAGAGAATATAGGGGAAATGCTCAAGAACATTGGTCTAGGCAAAGATTTTATGGTTAAGACATCAAAAGCATAGGCAACAACAACAAAAAATAGGCAGGTGGGACTATATTAAACTAAAAATCTGCACAGCAAAGAAAACAACAGAGTGAAGAGACCAACTGTAGATGGGAACAATATTTTCAAATTATCCAACAGGGGACTAATATCCAGAGTGTACAAGGAACACAATTCAACAGTAAAAAAAAAAAAAAAAAATCCCCTTAAAAATGGTCAAGGGATCTGAATAGAAATTTCTTAAGAAATACAAATGGCCAACATGTATGTGAAAAAGATGCTCAACATCACTAATTATCAGGGAAATTTAAAGCAAACCACAATAATATATCATCTTACCCTAGCTAGAATAGCTATTATTAAAAAGACAAAAATGGTAGCTAGGATATAAAGACAAACTCTTACACACGGTTGGTGGGAAGGTGAATTAGTACAGCCACTATGGAAAACAGTATGGAGATTTCTTAGAAAACTGAAAATAGATCTGTGTGATCCAGCAATACCACCACTGGGTATTTATCCAAAGGTAAGGAAATCGATACATCAAAGGGATACTGGCACCCCCATGTTTACTGTGGTACTATTTACAATAGCAAAGACAGGGAATCAACCTAACTGTCCATCAATGGATGAATGGATTAAAAAGATACGGCATATATACACAATGGAATACTATTTAGCTATAAAAAGAATGGAATCTTGTCATTTCCACTAACATGGACAGAACTGGAGGTTCTGATATTAAATGAAATAAGCCAGGCACAGAAAGACAAATATTGCATGTTCTCACTCATGTGCGAGCTTTAAAAGGTTGATCTAATCGAGGTAAACAGCAGAAAGATAGTATCCAGAGGCTGGGAAGGGTGTGTGTGTGTGTGTGTGTGTGTGTGTGTGTTTGTGGGTGTGTGAGGGGGGTGATGAAGAGAGGTAGGTTAATGGGTACGAACGTACAGTCAGATAGAAGGAATAAGTTCTAGTGTTTGATAGCACAGTAGGGTGACTATAATTAACAACAATATATTGTGTATTTCAAAATAGCTAGAAGACTTGTAATGTTCCCAACACAGAGAAATAAATGCTTGAGGTGACGGATATCCTATGTACCCTAACTTCATTATTAGATACTATGTGTGTATCAAAATATCACATGTACCCCATAAATATGTGCAAATATTATGTACAAATAAAAAGTCACACTGTACAATTTTTATTTGTCAATTATACTTCAATAAATCTGGAAAAAAATAAAGTATGTATGCAATCAAAGTTTTAAAGTATATTCCCAAATATGTGCAACCATCACTGCATTCAATTTTAGAATATTATCATCGCCTGAAAAAGAAACCCCATGCCCTATAGCTATTACTCTCTTATTCCCCCTTCCCCATCACCCCAAACCCTAAGCAAGAGTTAATCTATGTCCTACCTGTATGGATTTGCCTATTTTGGAAAATTCATATGTAAATATAATCATATATGGTCTTTTGTGACTAGTTTCTTTCACTTAATGTTTCCAAGTGTCATTTATATTATAGCATGTATCAGTATTTCATTGCTTTTTATGGCCAAATAATACTGTATTCCATAGATGTATCACATTTGTTTATTTATCGGTTTATAGACATCTGGATTGTTTCTGTCTTTTGGCTAATACAAATAATGCATCTATGAATGTTCATTTACAAATTTTTGTGTGACACATTTTTATTTCTCTTGGACATATACCTAAGAATGGGTGAGTCGTATGGTATCTTCATTTTTAATCAGTTGAGCCACAGCCTGACTCCTTCCAAAGTGACTACATAATTACACATTCCTGCCAGCAGTGTCTGAGGGTTCTCATTCCTGCATATCCTTAACAATACTTATTATCTGATGTTTTGATTCTAGCCATTCTTTGGCTGGGAAGTGGTATCTCGTGTGTGTGTGTGTGTGTGTTTGTGCGTGCGTGCGTGTGTGTGTTTTAGACAGAGTCTCGCTCTGTTGCCCAGGCTGGAGTGCAGTGGTGTGGTCTCGGCTCACTGCAACCTCTGCCTCCCAGGTTCAAGCAATTCTCCTGCCTCAGCCTCCCAAGTAGCTGGGATTACAGGTACCTGCCACCATGCCCAGCTAATTTTTTCTATTTTTAGTAGAGATGGGGTTTCACCATGTTGGCCAGGCTGGTCTGGAACTCCTGACCTTGCGATCCACCCACCTTGGCCTCCCAAAGTGCTGGAATTACAGGTGTGAGCCACCATGCCCAGCCTTCACTGTGGTTTTAAATTGCATTTCCCTAATAATGTCGATCATCTTTTTTATGAACTTATTGGCTATTTGTATATCTTCTTTAGGGAAATGACTGTTCATATCTTTTGCTCATTCTATTTTTATTTATTTATTTAGAGACGGAGTCTTGCTCTGTCATCCAGGCTGGAGTGGAGTGGTGCGATCTTGGCTTACTGCAACCCCCGTCTCTTGGGTTCAAGCGATTCTTGTGTCCCAGCCTCCCAAGTAGCTGGGACTACAGGTGTGTGCCACCACACCCAGCTAATTTTGTATTTTTAGTGGAGGCAGGGTTTTACCATGTTGGTGAGGCTGATCTCGAACTCCTGACCTCAAGTGATCCACCCACTTCAGCCTCCCAAAGTGCTGAGATTACAGGCGTGAGCCACTGCGCTCGGACTCCTTTGCTCATTTTAAAATTGGGATTATGTGTGTTTTGCAATTAAGTTGTAGGAGATTGTTATATATTCTAGAAACATCTCTTGTTAAATGTATGATTTGCAAATCTTTTCTCCTTTCCTGTGGGTTTTTTTCACTTTTAAAAAAATTCTTAATTTTTAAAACTATTTTAATTTTTTGATCTAAATGTTTACTGTTAATTAGTAAATAATACACATATGGGGTACAATGTGATGTTTTGATATATGTATATATTGTGGATCACTTTCTTGATAGTGTCCTTTGAAGCATAAACATTTTAATTTTGATGACATCTAATTTTTCTCAATATTATCTAATATCTTTTGTTTGTGCTTTGGCATAATATCTAAGAATCCATTGTCCAACCTGAGTTCATAAATATATATATATATATATATATATATATTTGAGACGGAGTCTCACTCTGTTGCCCAGGCTGGAGTGGAGTGGTGTGATCTCGGCTCACTGCAACCTCTGCCTCCTGGGTTCAAGCCATTCTCCTGCCTCAGCCTTCTGAGTAGCTGGGATTATAGGTGTGCACCACCACACCCGGCTAATTTTTATATTTTTAGTAGAGACGGAGTTTCACCATGTTGGTCAGGCTGGTCTCAAACTCCTGACCTTGTGATCCACCTGCCTCGGCCTCCCAAAGTGCTGGGATTACAGGCATGAGCCACCGCACCCGGCCAGTTCATAAAGATTTATCACCTAGGTTTTCCTCCAAGAATTTTGTAATTTCACCACTAACATTTAGATCTTTCTTCCATTTTGAGCTTATTTTTGTATATAGTGTGAAGTAAAGGCCTGTATTAGTTTCTTAGACCTTGTGTAACACATTGCCAAGATTTGATGGCTTAAAACAGCAAACATGTATTCTGTCACAGTTCTGGAGGCCAGAAGTTTGAAATCCAGGTGTTGGCAGGATTAGTTTCTTCTGGAGGCTCTGGGGGAAAGTTCATTCCATGATTCTTTCCTAACTTCTGGTAGCTGTTGGTAGTTGTTGCTCCATTGGCTTGGAGATACATCACTGAAATCTTTGCCTTCATCTTCACATGGCATTCTTGCCTGTGTCTCTTCTCTGTTTATGTCATATCTCCTTCTTTTTTATTAAGACACCAGTCACTAGATTTAGGTCCCACCCTAAATCCAGGATGATCTTTTCTTGGGAACCTGAACTTAATTTCATATACAAAGACACCATTTCTAAATAAGTTCACGTTCACAGGTACTGGTGGTCAGGTCTTAGACAAACCTTTCGGAGTACACACTTCAACCACCATAAGGTCCACTCCATCATTTTGTATGTGGCTATCAAGTTTCCCCAGTACCATTTGTTGAAAAGACTGTGCTTTCCCCCGTTGAATGTGCTCAGCACCCTTGCTGAAAATCAGTTGACAGTAGACACATGGTTTTATTTCTGAATTTCAGTTCTATTCTATTGATCTATGTCTATCTTATGCAAGTACCACACTGTCTTGATTACCATTACTTTATGCGATGTTTTGAAACTGGAAAGAATGAGTTCTACTTTGTTCTTTTCTTCCTTCTTTTTATTTTTTAGAGACAGTTTCTTACCCTGTAACCCACACTGTAGTGCAGTGGCATAATCATGGCTCACTGCAGCCTCAACCTTCTAGGCTAAAGCAATCCCCCTGCCTCAGCCTCCCAAGTAGCTGGGATGACAGGTGTGTACCACCATGCCCCGCTAATTTTTATTTTTTGTAGAGACAGGATCTTGCTGTGTTGCCCAGGCTGGTCTTGAACTTCTGGCCTCAAGCAATCCTCCTGCCTCGGCCTCCCAAAGTGCTGCGATTGATTACAGGCATGAGCCACTGTGCCTGGCCCTTTGTTCTTTTTTTCAAGATTGTTTGCATAGTCTGCGTCCCTTTAATTTCTTTATAAATTTACAATTAGTTTGCAAATTTCTACGAAGAAGTCATTTAGGAATCTGATAGGGATTGTGCTGAATCTATCAGTTTGGAAATATAATCATTGAGTTATATTAAATCTAATCCATGAACTTTACCCCATTTATTTAGATTTTTAATTTCTTTCATTGATGTTTGAGTTGCACTTCTTTTGTTAAATTTGCTTCTAAGTATTTTGTTCCTTTAAAGCTATTACAAATGGAATTGTTTTCTTAATTTCATTTCTGGATTTGTCATTGCAAGGGTTTAGAAATAAAATTGATTTTTGTATACTGGTGTTATATCCTTTATCCTTGCTGAAGTTAGTAGTTCTAATAGCTCTTTAATGGATCATTTAGCATTTTTTTATATAAAAGATCATGTCATCTGTGAATATAGTTTTACTTCTTTCTTTCCAATCTGAATATACTTTATTGCTTTTTTCTTGTCTAATTATCTTAGCTAGAACCTTTGGTAATGTTGAATAGACATAGTGGGAGTGGATATTCTTGTTTTAATTGCTGATCTTAGGAGGAAAGCAACCAGTCTTTCACCATTAAATATTGATGTGGTTTGGATTTGTGTACCCGCCCAAATCTTATGTCAAACTGTAGTCCCCAGTGTTGGAGGAAGGGTGTGGTGGGAGGTGATTGGGTCATGGGGGTGGACTTCCCCCTTGCTGTTCTCATGATAGTGAATTTTCGTTGAGATTTTGTAGTGAGATTTGGCTTTTTAAACATGTGTGCCACCTCCCCCTTCTCTCTTCTTCCTGCTTCAGCCATGTAAGATGTACTAACTTCCCATTCACCTTCCACCATTATTGTGTTTCCTGAGGCCTCCCCAGGAGCAGAAACCTGTATAGCCTGCAGAACCTTTAGCCAATTAAACCTCTTTTCTTTATAAATTATCCAGTTTCATGTATTTCTTTAAAGCAATGCATAAATGGACTAATACGAGTATGATGTTAGCTGTAGCTTTTTTATAGATGCCCTTTATCCGGCTGAGAAAGTTCCTTTCAATTCCCAGTTTGTTGACTCTTTTTTTTTTAAAGTAACATGGTCTCAACACATCGCCCAAGATGCCCTCGAACTTCTGGCCTCAAGTGATTCTCTTTCCTCAGTCTCCTTGAGTAGCTGGGACTATAGACACATGCCAATGTGCCCACCTGTTGACTGTTTCTATTATGAAAGAGTATCGAATTTGATCAAAACCTTTTTCTGCATCTATTGAGATAATTGTGGGTTTTTATTCTATTGATATAATATATTACATTAATTGATTTTTGGATATTAAACCCATCTTGCATTCCTAGGATAAATCTCACTTTGTCATGGTGTATAATTATTTTTGTACATTGCTGGGTTGTTTGCTAGTATTTTCTTGAAGATTTTCACATCTATATTCATGAATAGCGATCTGTAGTTTTTTTGTGATTGTTTTGTCTGCTTTTGGTACCAGCCTTATAGAACATACCTTATAGAATATGTTGGGCAGTGTTCCTTTCTCCTTTTTGGGAGAGTTTGTGAAGAAATGGTTTGATATCAGCTATTCATAGATCAGAGTTTGAGTAGCATGGTGACAAACCTAGGATAATTTTTTAGACTTTTATGGATGCTCTAGACTGAATGTTTGTGTCTCCAATCCCCCACCCAAATTCCTATGTTTAAAACTTAATCCCCAGTGTGATGATACTTAGAGGTGGGGCCTTTTGGAGGTGATTAGGTTATGAATGCAGAGCCCCCATGAATGGGATCACTGCCTTTATCAGAAAGACCCCAGGCAGTTCTCTTCACCTTTCTGCCATGTGAGGCCACTTGGAGAAGATATACGTTTATGAAACAGGAAAGGGGCCTTCATCAGACATGAAATTAACCAACACCTTGCTCTTGGACTTACCAGCCTCCATAACTGTGAGAAATACTTTTATGTTGTTTATAAGCCACCCAGTCTAAGGTATTCTGTTATAGCAGCCTGAGTGGACTAAGACAGTGGGGGTGTGTGGTGTTATAGATTGGTTTTTGGCCACAGTTCCTGGTTCCTAGCTCCTATATTCCCTTGTTTCGGTCTTTTGTAATAATATTGGGTGTGTTCGGCCTCGGCAGGCCTCAGGAATCAGAATCTCTCTTCTGGCCTCATTTCACCTGCCCCAAGGCAGGACTCTAATCTTCTGCCTTTCTGATTATGGGTCTTAAGACCCTCTCTGGAGAGGGTCCCACACTATACATTGGGAGAAGGAATGCTGGTGTCACGAAGCTTCCATAAAAACCCAGGAGAACTGGGTTCAGGGAGCTTCCAGGTAGCTGAACAAGTGGAGGTTTTTGGAGGTTGGTGTGCCCAGGAAGGGCATGGAAGCTCCATGCTCCTTCCCTGATACCTCACCCTACACGTATTTTCATCTGTATCCTTTGTAATATCCTTTATAATAAACTAGTAAACATAAATGTTTCCCTGAATTCTGTGAGCTACTCCAGCAAATTAGTGAAGCCCAGAGTGGGTGGTGGGAACTTCTGCGATTGGTGTCTGATGTGGAGTAGTCTTGGGGACTAAGCCCCCAATCTGTGGGATATGATGCTATCTCCAGGTAGACAGTGTTGACATTGAACTGGAGGATACCCAGCTGGTGTCCACTGCTTGGTGTGTGGGGAAAAACCCCCACATCTTTGGTCACAGAAGTCTTCTGTGTTGATGATTGTTGTGGTATGAGAGCAGAGGGAAAATGTGGTTTGAGAGAGGGTTTCCTAAAATAGGGTTACAAAAACATAAATGTCACAGATATTCTTTCCAGAAAATATGTGCATATACAAAGAAATATAAATATTAGTATAAAATCTTAGTGTATACACAGGTCCTCTGAAGTCTTAGACATCTAGATTTTAAAAAATCCTAACAAGAGATAAGTTTTGAGCAATCATTTCACCATCCCACAGTGCCACTCTACTTATCTGAGTATAAACTGATCAGGAAAAAGTTGTACTTCATAACAGACTATCAAGGAAATAAATTGAAAGTTGTAATTAATTAGTCACTGATTCATTCAGCAAAACCCAAGTGTCTATGATATACCAGATAAGGTTCTAGTCTCAGATTACTGCTCTAGGAATTGACTTTTTTTTTCATTCTTTTTCCACTCTATCTTCCTGTGTCCCAGCACCTGAACCCTCTCCATGTTAGGGAGAATTTCATACTTAAAGAGTATGATTTCATACTTAAAGAATTTCATACTTAAAGAGTCATTGTAGGAAGCAGACACCAACTTCTTCCACGAAAGAAAAACTCACTTTTCCAAATATTCTGGCAGCTGGATATGGGATGAGGCTTAGGTTCCACCAGGCAGATAACCACTTGCTGGATTCTGACTCAGCCTGGTGACATAAGCTGGTACTGTGCACACATTTTAGTAAGTGTGGTGTGAGTTGCAGCAGCAATGTCCAGTTGCCAGGAGCAGTCGTGATAGCAGTTCTATCTGCAAGGTCCAGTGTCTAGCTTTAGAGTGTCATTGGTATGAACAGTGACATCTGTGCCCAGCATCAGGGGCAGTGATTCCTATGTGAGACTCCACCTAGGATGGGATTATAGATGCTGCTTCTAGCTATGTAGCTTTAAGCCTATTCTCACAGACCTTCCCAAAATAAAATAAACACCAGCCTAATGAAGATAGATGATAGATAGATAGACAGATAGAAGTCCTTTATGTTTAAATTAGAAAAAATAGCATTTAAATGTGGACTTAAGACCCTTTCCCACCCTAGGCACTGTTGATCACTGACCTCAGTGGTTCCCAATCTGGCTGATCACCAGGATTCCTTGTAGATTTTTTACAAAAATACTCAGGCCTTTCCCCATACCCACCATCTCAGAAGTGGAACATGGATCCCAGGAATAACAAGCCACAGGTGAGGCTGATGCACAGCCACCTGGGAATCCTGGTCTACATTCTTGCTACTAAAAGTGTGATCTGAAGACCATCAGTGTCTGCCTCAACTTTTTTATAAACACAGAATCTCATTCTCAACTCCAGACCACCTGAATCTTAGAAAGTTGTCCAGGTGATTCCTACGCACACTAAAATTTGAGATTCTCAGATTTACTTACTTTCTAGATGTGGTGTTAGAACTGTGCAGTCTGCTGTCAGAGTGTGTTCTGATGAAATCCCTTAGCACTGAAGGTCCAGGGTTCAGTCCATGTCCTTTTTCTCTTCTATAGCCATCTTTCCCTTGGCGACTCATGCATGCTCTATGCTTTAAATATCATTAATATGGCATTAACTCCTAAATCTATTTTCCCAGCCCAGACATTTCTCCTACATTTCCAACTTGCATATCCATCTGCCAACACAACAACCTCACTTGAATGTCTGACATCTGAGATTCAACATTTCCTAAATTGAATGCCTATAGTGCCCCCTCCTCAAATATGCCCCTTTCAGAATTTTCCCCATCTGTGCTGACAACAACTTCATTTTTCTACTTGCACAGTCTGAAATTTTGGGGTTCCTCTTTGACTCCTCTTTTTCATACCCCAGACTTAATCTATTAGGAAGTACTGTGAAGTCCATATTGAGAATGTGTCTGAAATCCAATCACTTCCCACTCTTTTCTCTGCTCACACCCCAGGCAAAGCAACCAGAGTTGCTAATCTGAAATACTGCACTAGTTTCCTACAGTTTTCCCACTTTCTCACTCACCCCTCATCTCTCAATTCTGTTCTCAGCATAGCAGCCAGGATGATCCTTTTAAAAGATGTGCCAAGTCTCTACTCTGCTGACAGCTGTTTGTGTCTCCCCCATCTCACTCAGAGCAAAGTCAGAACCCTTCCAGTATCCTCAAGCCTACATGATCTCCCCAAATCTCTGACCTTATATCAATGACTGCTGCAGCTATCTGAGCCCCCTCAACTCCTCCCACAACCCAGATGTGCTCCTGTTCTGGTGCCTTTGCACTGGGGGTTCCCCTGCCTGGAAAGAACCTGCCCCAGACGTCCTCATAGATAATTCATCTTTTCTCTTAAGGTCACATTCCCAGTGAGACCATAGACCACCCTAGTAAAACAGCCATCTTCCCTGTCCCCACACACCCACAATCTGGATCACCTGCCTCACACCCCTCAGCACCTTTTGACAGAAACACTTTCCTTATTTACTCTGCTTATAGTACATAGTCTGTGTTTTCCCACTAAAACATGTGCCCCTCAAGGCCAGCAATTTTTGCCTGTTTTTAGTTTCCAGATGTAAAACTAGCATTTCATACAGCCAGCACTCAACAAATATTGGCTAAATGAATGACCAGTGTACAGCACCTCCCTATTCTAGAAACAGTATCTTTATTAATGTAGCTGCAGACCACATGCTGTTTTGTGGCAGCTACAGTGAAACAACCACTCATGTTGACATCAGTGCTGCCTGTACTTTTCTCACAAATGCTGTTCTCGCCTCCCTCCCACACCAATCCTCATATACCACAGCAGACAATTATAGTTCCCTTTTCAGAAAAAAAAAAATGATCCTAGGCTTATGGACCCTATTTTCCAACCAACTGTGAATTAAATTAGAGTCTAGACATCCATGAGTTTGGATTTGAGCCAGCACTAGGATTATTACAGCCAAAGGCAGGGAGAGAGGGTAGGTGAGCCAAAAATAAATTCCTGTTAGAAACCTAACAGGAGTTTATCTAAGGTGAGAAACCGAGATATGATCTCTAATTCCAGAATTTGATTTCCTGAAAAAGATTGGGGAAAAGATGCGAAGAATAGTCCAGGAAACAGCCCTGGAAGGACAAGAGCTGGGTGGGTCTAAAAATTGGTCTCGATACCACAGAGACTCCTGTGTGCAGGGGCCACCCCAGGGCTTGTGAGGACAATGACAGAAAAAGTAACTCCTACGGCTGTCCTAGAGGAGATTGGAGACTTGGAGACCAGAACTCAGATACAAGAAGAAGAACAGGCATAGTCTTCTGTCAAAACAAAACAATGAACAAGATGGGGGCTGAGGGCCAGACCTAAGCCTGAGCCTAGGCTGACCTGGTCACACAAAGCCCTTGCCACAGTCCTAGAGACAGGATAAGGCCTGGCCCTTCTCCTCCTATACCAAATGCTCTTTGTCACACATTCTCCCTTAATCCAGAGCTAGGAGTTACGTCATCGTTTCTCAAACGTTTTGGTTTCAGATCTCTGCATGCTCTTAGGAATTAGTGAGGACTCTGAAGATAATTTTATGTGAGTTATATACGTTAATATTTACCATATTAGAAACTAAAATCACTTAAATTATTTTATTCATTTAGAATATTAATAATGCATTGCATGTTAGAAATATTTTTATGCAAAGTCAGTATTTCCCAAAGTAAACAGTATAGTGAGAAGAGTGCATCTTTTTACATTTTGTATGTTTGTAAATCCTTTTCTTATGTGTCTCATTAGAAGATTAATGAATTTTCTTCTCCTTCATTTAATCTGTTATTTTGGTTAATCTGTTATGTTTGGTTGAAGTGTATGAAAAAAAATCCATCCTCACACAATGATATTTTTGTTGCTGTTCTTGTTTTGGGTTTTGTTGGGGGGTTTTGTTTGTTTGTTTGTTTCTTTTGGTCTCATGCTATCACCCAGGCTTGAGTGTAGTGGTGTGATCATAGCACACGGCAGCCTCGAATTCCTGGGCTCAAGTGATCCTCCCAATTCAGCCTCATGAGCAGCTGTGACCACAGGCACGAAACACCACCACAGCTAATTTTGTTTATTTTTTGTAGAGATGGGGGTCTCATTCGAACTCCTGGGTGGAACTCCTAGGCTCAAATGATTCTCCTGCCTTGGCCTCCCAAAATGCTGGGATTACAGGTATAAGTCACCTCGCTAGGCCAGGAATGTTTTTAATAACATTTTTAGAAAACTGGATATTCATCCTTGATACTACACTAAAATGATAGAAGTGTTAGCTTCTTAAAGGTTATTTGTAATGTGGAACATGAAACTATCAATAACTATTTCACATGCTGTTACATTAAAATATATAGGTCCGACTTCCACATTGAATGCTTCTTGTATAATACATGACTTTTAAAAAAAGAAACACAATTTCACCACATTATGTCTTCCAGTGTTGACACATTTAACTACAAGTTATCAAAAAATCACATTTTTTAATAGTACCACAGATATTACCAGAAAAGATTGTTAAGTATTGGGAAGCCATCAGGCTTATGATGGTGGATACAAGTTCCCCAGGATTCTAATTTTCTCTTGAGAGCTTGCCTTTTATCATTGGGAATAATACCATCAGTTGATTATGTGGAAGGGACAGGGTTATGTTCGTTTTTGAGAAAGTGTCAGCCAAATATTCAAGTCTAAATGATAATCATTTCTGTCATTCATTCTTTCAAGTAAAAAGGATATTCCATAAAAAATAGACTAGTACAACTCACAAAATGATTTTGTGGACACAAACATTTTAATTTGTTTTTGTTTTCGTTTTAAGACAGGGTCTCGCTCTGTTACCCAGGCTGGAGTGCAGTGGCATGATTTTGGCTCACTGAAACCTCCACCTCCCGGGTTCAAGTGATTGTTGTGACTCAGTTTCCCTAGTAGCTGGGACTACAGGTGCGCACCACCATGCCTGGCTAATTTTGTATTTTTAGTAGAGACAGGGTTTCACCATGTTGGCCAAGCTGGTCTTGAACTCCTGACCTCAAATGATCCACCTGCCTAGGCCTCCCACAGTGCTAGAATTAATTGCAGGTGGGAGCCACTGCGCCTGGCCTCAAACATCCTAATTTGGAATGTAGTAGAAATACCTTATGCGTACTTCCCACTTACTCATTTAAGATATATTAAACTGTGGATTCTGGGATAGAGATTTAATAAAGTTAATAATTCTTTGATACTTCAACCAGGACATATTTAAGTGAAACCTGTTTTTTCTTCTATAATTAAGAAGTGGTTAAGAATATAATAACTACTATTTCAGTTTGGTACCATAGCCTCCCTTCTTGTCAAGTTTTACTTTAGTACAAATAATGTCTTCATTGTATTATAAAAATACTTTTAACCTTGTGGATCTATGAAGGGGTTTCAGCAGCCCACAAGGGTTCCACAGATTGCACTTTGAGAAATCCTGTTCTGGGTAAGCTGTGGAGAGTTCTTGACTGGCCCCTTTGCCTCTTCATTTTCCCAAATTTTTCTCCCCGAGCAGGACTCCCTGCATCCCAAAACTTAGCTAGCGCTAAGTTTGCCTTGCCCTGGGCTCTTATAGAAGAGAACCTATCACCTGTAAATTGGATGCAGAGAGTGTCCTTAGTCTGGGAACAGAGGTGGCAAATGTGTTTCCATTTTGGAGCTGGGAATGGTTTGCGCCTAAAAGCACAAAATAGAGATTTCACTCCTGACCCACTTTGAATTTGCAATCTCTATGAGAAATAATATTGGCCCTTTCATTTCTGTTTTTTCCAAGATGGGGTCTCACAGTGTCACCCAAGCTAGAGTGCAGTGGCATGATAATGGCTCACTGTAGTGGCGAACTCTCGGGGGGCTCAAGCCATCCTCCCACCTCAGACTCTTAAGCTGTTGGAACTACAGGCACTTGCCAGCATGTCCAGCTAATTTTAAAAATTATATATTTTGTAGAGCTAATTTTAAAAAATATTTTGTAGAGATGGGATCTTGCTATGTTCCCCAGGCTGGTTTCAAACTTCTGAGCTCAAGCGATCCTCCTGCTTTGGCCTCCCAAAGTGCTGGGATTACAGGCGTAAGTCACCACAACCAGTCACCCTTTCATTTTAGATGTGTCTAATGCACTTGACTTGAGGCCCACATAGCACCAAGAGCAGTTATCTTAATCCATCAGGCTGCTATAACAAAAATACCCTAGATTAGGTGGCTTATAAACAAAAGAAAGATATTTCTCACAGTGCTGGAGGCTGGGAGGTCCAATATCAAGGTGTCAGCTAACTCTGTGTCTGGTGAGGGCCTGCTTCTTCATAGCTGTCCTCTCACTGCATCCTCCCATGGCAGAAGGGCCAAGACAGCTTTCTAGAATCTCTTTTATAAGGGTACAAGTTCAATTCATGGGAGTTCTGACCTCATGACATAATCACTTCCTCTAAAACAAACCCACTTCCAAATATCATCTCATTGGGGATTAGGTTTTATTTTGGGAGGAGCATAAAAATCTCTATAGCAGTAGTGCTGTTCAATAGAACATTCTGTGATGATGAAATTGATCTATATCTGCACTGTCCAATATGGGAGCCACTAGTTACATGTGGTTATTGAGCACTTGGAATGTGGCTAGTGTGATAAAGAGTTGATTTTTTAAAAGTTTTATTCAATTAATTGAAATATAAATAGCCATGTGTAGCTAGTAGTTACCATTTTGCTTATCTAGAGTGCTCTTAGTTTTCAATCTCCCCCACAAAAAAAGATACCTTGTGACTCCCAGATTGAAATACATTAAAATTACCTTCACATAGAACCCATGGATTTGGCTATGTGGGTCTTAGACATATCCCTAAAATACAGCAGGCCCAAGAAAGTTCAATATGTATTTTAACAATTAGAGTGTACGTATAGATTACCAAAACATGATTTATCAACTCAAGGTCATACATTTTCAAAAATGCTTATCACCAGAGCTAATCCTTGTCAATATTTCATTGAGACTCTTGGTGTTACTGTTTTCTATAACCTGGTGAACACAAGGAGGTATATAAGTCATTACTTAGCCCAAGAGAAAGTATTTATTGAAGTTGCCATATAAAATATCTTATAGGCTTTGTAGACATATTTTAAAATTATAAGCAAATGATTTAAACTTTTTCATTTTTGAGATAGAGTCTTATTCTGCCACCCAGGCTGGATTGCAGTTGGGCAATCATGGCTCACTGCAACCTCCGCCTCCCAGGTTCAGGTGATTCTTCCACCTCAGCCTCCCAAGTAGCTGGGCCTACAGGCACACACCACCACACCTGGCTAGTTTTTGTATTTTTTGGTGAATACACCATGTTGGCCAGGCTGGTCTTGAACTCCTGACCTCGAGTGATCTGCCTACCTTGCCCTCCAAAAGTGCTAGGATTACAGGCGTGAGCCACCACACCTGACCAGGTTTTAAATGTTAAAACTCCACCTTAGAACTCTTTGCTTCTTTCTCATTCCCCCCAGCTTTCTCCCCAAATCAAACATATCTGTGTGTTTCTCTTCACTCTGGGACTTCCCTCTCTTCATATCATCTGTACCTAGATGAAAATAGATGTTAAGTTTTACAATTGTGAGGTAGAAAAGGATTCTGTAAGCATGACCCAAATATGAAAAGCCATAAATAAAAAAATAAAACTTCTCTATGTCAACCACAGACTCACAAATATACAAACATATGCCTGTGATCAAATTCAAAGACACATAAATAATTGGAAAGACAAAAGGTAGCATATTTCAATGTCTTTCAGCCAAAGACCACCAGGAACATCTATAGCTGAACAACTGGGGTTTATTACTCATTGTCACAAGAGAGAATGCACACCATCTTAGCGTGAGGATATTAGAAAAAATGCAATATAGGATTTGGTCTTTTAGTGGATGTTTTTGGGGAGAGCTAACGAGGTAGGGGTTGACTGTAGATGGGGTGTTGTCAAAAAGCAGGAACATTTCTACGACTGTCTCAATAAATCTTACCCATAATAAATGCAGAGCAGAGCAAGGATAAAGTTGTGGCTGGTAAAGAAACAGCCGTCACTCATATTAGCCAGCAGGGGGAGAGGTTTGGTATTTTGTGAGGTACACAGTGCCTTGGTTTTTGTCTGTGCTTATACTAAATTATGTAGTGCCCCTGTTTTGTCTTGTTTTATCATGTTCCCAGAGTGTCCTTGTCTGATGTTGTGTAATATGGTTTATGTCCAAGAAAAGAATAATATGGCCTAGTGTTGAGCAGTAGGACAGCTTCTAACAGTACTGAAACCTACTGTCAGTGTCAGAAGTCAAGAGCTGCTTTTTTTCTTAGTCAAATTCAACATTTTTAAGTCATCCCAATAGAAAAATAATAATATTAGAAAGCAATATGGGAAAGAATAAATCAAATATCAGACAATATACTCTGATTAATGAATATGAGGAAAAATGAGAACATGACATTAGAAATGCGAATGAAAATTAAAATCTGTCAGTTTGGCATATGTGAAAGTAAATGATAAGCATATTATCCAGAGGTAGGGAAAATACACTGTCATGAAGGCTGATGAAAAACGGGTATACTTTGGGAGGCCGAGGCAGGTGGATCACGAGGTCAGGAGATCAAGACCATCCTGGCTAACACGGTGAAACCCGTCTCTACTAAAAATATTAAAAAAAAATTAGCTGGGCGTGGTGGCAGGCGCCTGTAGTCCCAGCTACTTGGGAGGCTGAGGCAGGAGAATGGTGTGAACCCAGGAGGCGGAGCTTACAGTGAGCCGAGATCGTGCCACCGCACTCCAGCCTGGGAAACAGAGCAAGACTCTGTCTCAAAAACAAAACAAAACAAAACAACAACAAAAAACACTGGGGTATAAATTTCTAGAGGGGACTTTTGCGAAACATGTTAACAATATAAATGGACTTACATTTCAATGCATATATTTCTCTTTCAAGAATTTTTCCTAAGAAGATAACTGCACACATTCTAAAAAATATATGTTCAAGGATGTTTCTTGAATTTTGGTTTATAAAAGCAAAATGATTGAAACAATCCAAATGCTGTAATCAATATAGGGATAGTAGCTATGAGTAGCAGAACACTTAATATACCTCAAGGTATAATACCATGTGTTTTACTGAGAGAGTCAAATTTGATCTTCAATGCAAACCCATGAGAAGCCCGATATGTGATATCTTTGTATAGACAGGGAAAGGGAGACTCAGAGAGGTTAAGCAGGTGGTGGGGGTGGAGTGGACCCAGGGAATTTTCTCTTAATGGAATCATCTTTCACTGATTCCCTGTCCATCTGGTGGTGGATATGACGCTGTATCCCATGCCAGTGAACTCTTTCAATGTCCCTGAATGTTCTATGACAGGAGGTCATGAGATACAGTGCTCAGGAGAACATCAAGGGGCAATTGATCAAGGAAGTCTGATTTCCCTGCCTAACCACACTTATATTTCCTCATTCAGCATGTATTTCAAGTCCTCTGATGAATCATGTGATCTACTAGACCCTGAAGATACAGTGAAGAGCAAAAGTAAGATGCTGGCAATTTGATGTTTGCACTGTCATGAAGGAGATGCACATTTAGCAGAACTTACAAAGAGAAATATAAAATTACTGCTGAGCTAAGTGTGGTGAAGAAAAGTTCATGGTACCATGAAAGCAGATAACCAGGAGATCTAACAGGTCCACTACCACTATTCTCAATAATACCTAAAAGAAATAATAAGATATGGCATTTATAAATGATGAATAGGATTTTATAAAATTATATACAATCAGAGAACCAAAAAGCACTCTTGGAAATCAAAAAGTGATCATTTAAATAAGTATTTCAATAGATCACTTGGAAGAGTAAATTTGTACTACCACTAAATATTAAAAATGGAAAAACAATGTCAAGAAAGACAGAAAAACTATACGAATACTAGGCTATCAGTCAAGGATTTCCTGCAACTTAATAATACAAATTCTAAAAGAATGGAAAGATAGAAATTATTTAAAATAAAAAAATTTCTCCAAGTTTACAGACAAAAATTTAACTTGTAATGGCCCCAACCAAGTTCTTACTATAGTAGATGAAAACAGACCCACACCAAGACACATCACAATGAAATTTTAGAAGGTGGGTGGAAAAGAAGAAATCCCAAAAACATCAAAAGGCAAGAAAAACAACATTAGAAGCTAAAAAATGTTGATGGAATGTCATGGAAATTCCTAGGAAAAATGTTTTCAATACAGAATTCCATACCAAGTCCAGGTTGGAATAAGTGCTAGGGTAGCCCGAAGACATTTTCAGAAGCTTAGGCTTTCAGATTTTACTTTCCATGTTCCCTTAGGAACACAGATGAAATGAGAAACAAAAACGATGGAGAAAACCAAAAAAGGGGACACATGGGATCCAGGCAATAGGAGAGCCAGCATAAGAGAGAGGCAGAGGGATGCCCAGGATGAGGTGAAGACGATCTTGGAAATCAGCCCAGATGTGCATGCACCAGTCCACGTGTGGCAGGACCAAGGGAAGTGTCTTCACAAAGATGAGGTTGGTAGAACACGGGGCATGGTTGAATATATTCATGGAGACTGTCTTAGTTCATTTATGCTGCTATAACAGAATGCCATAGTCTGGGTCAGTTATGAAGAACAGAAATTTGTTTTCTCAGTTGTGAGGCTAGGAATCCAAGATCAAGCCACCAGCATTTGGCAAGAGCCTTCTTGCTGTGTCTTCACATGGCAAGTGGGTCAAGGGCAAGAGAGAGGACAATATTATTATTATGGGCTCACTGCCATAATAATGATATTAATTTGTTCATGAGGGCTCTGCGCTCATGACTCAGACAGCTTCTATTAGGCCTTACTTTCCAATATCACTGCATTGGGGATCAAGTTTCTAACACATGAACTTTGGGGAACACATTCAAACTATAGCAGAGGCCTTGGAGGGAAATTTGGAAGAGATTTTATAATGAGTACAACAGAAATTAAGCACATGAAGGGATAAAACATTTATTAATTCCAGGGAAATTAAAAAGTCAATTCCAGGAAGGAAAATAATCCTTGTGAATAGCATTTCCTAATCTAATTGTGAACAGCATTTCCTAATCTAATTGTGAATAGCATTTCCTAGTCTAGCTGTGAATAGCATTTCTGTGGTCATAATAATATAAATAGTGAACACCCAGCTAACCAAAATTATAAAATAACTATATTGAGAGGAGAGGGGTATATGAAAGGGAGCTATACACTAAGGATGATACATAAGAGTGAAAAACAAAACGGCACTATAACACACTATTTGGAGGCACAGATGTAACGATCAAAAAATTAGGCAGAATAAAGTAGATTGCCTCTAGGATTCAGGAAATGGTGTACATGAAAGATTGGGGACATCTGTGTTCATAACAAGCCTTGTAGAAGTATTTGGCTTTTGAAACACTGTCCATAAATCCATTTGATATATTAAAAACATCATGAGACAATTGACTAAGGAATTATTCTATAAGGAGTGTCAGAGAAATGGGGCGGTAATTGGAGGGAGACATGGAATCAGGCAATGGATTTATTTATTTTATTTTTAATTGTTTTGCTTCCACTTAAATTGCATGTTTTATTTCTCCCAATCCCAGCAATAGCACAGAAGCCCCATCATATCCATCCCAAACTGGTTTCGAGTAGGTTAAGGTTATTGGGACCCTTGTCGGAACATTGATACAAAGAGCTCCCAAACACCGGGCACAAATGTGTCTGCAAACAGATGGAAGTAAACAGTGCACTGGCCCAAATGCTTCATGAGTCAGTTTGATTTTGCAATGCAATTTTCATCCTTGAAACGGCCAGTCTGGAGGGGGAAGGGGTAGCGTGAGGGAGTGAAGTTGAAATTGCCTCCTATTAGCTCACTCTTTCATCATTAAACAGAGACCAAGAGAGAAATGGTTCCAACATTTCACCACATATATTTCTTCTTATGCAGTCTAAGCTGAGAATGCCATGTAAATGGGTCACTGCAAAATGTAGCAATTTAATTTCTCTCCAATCAAAATAAGAAAGCAGTACGATCTCACTTCTATTAACTTTTGAAGGTTTACAGCAGTTAAAGTATTTTTGCTTATTTGTATAAAGGTTAAAAAAATCATTTTTTAAATAAAATACAAGAGCAGCCAATTTCACCATCGAGTAAAAGTAAAAACTGGGATTCTTTTTTAAATTAGTCCAAAGTGGCATTTAGGAACTTAGTTGTAGGCTGCTACGCTGACACCGTGACAAACCAAAGTGTAGGGTTGGGTCTGGTTTTGTTTCTGTTTTCTTTTCAATATCCAGTGCTCATGGATTAAGTTCTGGAAATGTTCCAATTGTAAGGCAGGGATCTGTTTGGATTCCATCATGAGTATGCTCCTTGGGTTGGATGCTGGAGAGTGAGGCATGTTTTGCCGGACCCATGTCGACTACCTAGTAGTCATCAAGGTAAAAAAATTCATCGTCTCCTCCTTGGTATTCCATTCTTTGGAAATCCACTTGGTACCACAAGAGACCTCCAATTCTACCAAATCCTTTCACAAACTGAGACCCTTCTTGTGATTTATATGTGACAATTTCCAATGTAGCTCCGACTTTTTTATAGTTGTTAGCAAACCATTTCAACAGGGGCATGCTCTTGATAAGCGCATGTTCCTGCCTGGTCTCTTTGTCTGTGAAATGAGATTTATCCTGTTCTTGCTCTGGAGTTAGAGAATTTTCTCCTCTTTTGTGCCTTGGCAATGAAGAACATATCTCATTATATTCAGATTTTCATAGGCTATTAGAATTTCTACAGCTCCCATTTCCAAAGCCTTTAGTGTATCTTCAACACCAAAACAGTACCTGCCTGTGTCCTGGCTGATTTCATCAATGTATCCCTACTAATTTCTTCTTTTGAATAAATTTCACTTTGGAGAGGACTTCAGTAGATAGCCCAACAGCTTGGTTGAATCCATTTTCACCACCATAGGATATATCAACTAATTTCTTTTTTTTGAGACTGAGTCTTGCCGTGTTGCCCAGGCGGGAGTGCAGTGGTGTGATCTGGGCTCGCTGCAAGCTCCGCCTCCCAGGTTCACGCCATTCTCCTGCCTCAGCCTCCCAAGTAGCTGGGACCACAGGCACCCGCCACCACGCCCAGCTAATTTTGTTTTTGTATTTTTAGTAGACACAGGGTTTCACCGTGTTAGCCAGGATGGTCTCGATCTCCTGACCTCGTGATCCGCCCGCCTTGGCCTCCCAAAGTGCTGGGATTACAGGCATGAGCCACCACGCCCGGCCTATCAACTAATTTTAAAACTTTCGATTGTAACCGCTGATCAAACGTATCAGATTGACTTAGTTCAGTTTTAAAGTCAGCGGATCCAGCTAAAACTAGACCAGCCACCTTCCCTTTGTCCCCAGAAATAAACAGCTGCACAGCAGTCTCTGCTACTTTCTGAACATTGTTAGGTCACTTTTCCATTCTTAAACAGGCAAAACGCAAGGCTGACTGACCTTTACCGTGTTTCTTTGGGAGATCCACAGTGAGTTTTTGCAGGACTTCTCTTGTGTTTCCTTGGAGGGTGCCAAAAAGTGCACCACTACCATCTATTACGATGAATCCAGACTTGCTTTCATCTGAAAGTAGTGCTGTAAGAGCTTCTGTATGGAATTTGTTGTCACACAAATACAATGATGTATTAATTGGTTTGAAATGTTCAAAATCAATGTTAACTTTCTTGTGCACATTTATAAGTAGATAGGCAAAATGAAGGAAAATTCAGAACTGAAATGGTCATTATTTTTAAAAACCAGCAATTATAGAGTTAACATGTAGAAGTTCTCTCTCTCTCTCTCTTTTTTTTTCTGCCTACTTTGAACATGATGACATTTCTACAGGTGTTGAGATAAAACTCACTGCTTATGGCATTTCAGTCAAGGAAAGAAAACAGCCTTAAAGGCTTTGAAATTAATGGCTTTACAGATTACAATAGCTCCATGGTAATCAACCACCTAGACACCTTTTTTTTTTTTTTTTGAGATGGGGTCTCACTCTGTCCCCCAGGCTAGAGTACAGTGGCCTGATCTGGGCTCACTGCAAGCGCCGCCTCCCGGGTTCACACCATTCTCCTGCCTCAGCTTCCTGAGTAGCTGGGACTACAGGTGCCCGCCACCACACCCGGCTAATTTTTTGTATTTTTGATAGAGACGGGGTTTCACCGTGTTAGCCAGGATGGTCTCAATCTCCTGACCTTGTGATCTGCCTGCCTCGGCCTCCCAAAGTGCTGGGATTACAGGCGTGAACCACCGCACCTGGCTGACACCTTTTATAAATATAAATTTAGGTTTCCCTAACAACTGTGTACAATAATGAAACACTTAATTGAAAAATTAGTAACATAAAAGAAAAAAAAATAAATGTTTATAAAAGTTAGGCTCTCAGACCAAATAGGTCAAAATCTTGATCTCAGAGCAATAATAGAAGGTATCCCTGTTCAACAGAAAAATTTTGTTTTTTGTGCCATGCAAAAGCCAAAAAGAAAAAGGTGAAGAAAAAAAAACAGCTAAAATTCTTCCCTCCCCACATTTGCTAATTAAGCAAACAAGACTGGTAAACAAAAGATTGATTTGTTACTAATTCAAGGCTACTTGGAGATATTTTGCTTATACAATTCAGTTAAAAAGAAACCCATAACTCACTTGAAACAACAACAACAAAAAAGGTGGGGGCAATGAAAGAAGTTTTTTTAAAAAATCTAACTGCCACGGAAAGTGCTTTACCCAAAATTTTGGTCCATAGCTCTCATTAGATTATAAAGGCAACTGAAGTTTAACCTGGACACATAAAATATACCAAGAATGAACCAAGAAGAAATTAAAAACCTGAGCATACCAATAATGAGTAATGAGCTTGAATCAGGAATAAAAAGTCTCCCAACAAAGAAAAGCCCAGTACTGGATGCCTTCATTGTTCAGTTCCACCAAACATTTAAAGAGAGACTGACACCAATTCATCTGAAACTATTCCAAAAAATTGAAGGGGGAAGGAGTTCTTTCAAATTTATTCTAGGAAGCAAGCATTACCTTGTTATCAAAACCAGGGAAGGATACAACAACAAAAAAACTACACGCTGATAAACACAGATGCAAAAATTAACAAAATAGTAGCAAACTAAATCCACAACACATCAAAAAGATTATATGCCATGATCAAATGGGATTTGTTCCAGGGATGCAAGAATGGTTACATATCTGCAAATCAATAAACGTGATAGATCATATCAACAGAATGAAGGACAAAAATAAAATGATCATCTCTAGATGCAGAAAAAGCATTTGGTAAAATTCAACATCACTTCATGATTAAAAACTCTCAACCAACTAGGTATAGATGAAATGTACCTAAATACAATAAAGGCTGCATATGACAATTCGATAGTTGACAACATACATAATGGAAAAAAAGTTGAAAGATTTCCCTCTAAGAATTGGAACAAGATAAGGATGCCTGCTTTTACCAAATTTAACATAGTACTAGACTGATTCCTATGGAAATGGATAGAAAATTTTAAAAGATTACAGCAATGACAACAACAAAAACACATAGTACTGGTCCGACCCAGAGCAATTAGGCAAGAGAAGGAAATAAAAGGCATCCAAATTGGAAAAGAGGAAGTCAAATTGTTGCTGTTTGCAGATGACATAATCTTATTTATACACAAACCTAAAGACTCCATCAAAAAACTCTCAGAACTGATAAACAAATTTAGTAAATTTACAGAATATAAAATCAACATAAAAAAACTGTAGACTTTCCATACAAATCAATAAACATGATAGAGCATATTAGTGGAATGAAAGACAAAACTAATATTATCATCTCTATAGCTGCAGAAAAAGCATTTGATAAAATTCAATATCACTTCATGATAAAAACTTCCAACCAATTAGGTATAGATGGAATGTACCTAAACACAATAAAGGCCATAGAGGCAAACTCAAAATGATGAAAAATCAAGAAAGAAATCTCATTCACAGTAACTATAAAAAAGCATGGGAATAAATTTAACCAAGTATGTAATGAAAACTATAAAATACTAATGAAACAAATAGAAAAGGACACAAAAAATTGAAAGATATTCCATTATCATGGATTGGGAGAATTAATATTGTTAAAGTGACCATACTACCCAAACCAATCTACAGATTCAATGCAATACCTATCAAAATACCAATGTCATTCTTTATAGAAATAGAAAAAGAAATCTTAAAATTTGTATGGAACCACAAAAGACCCTGAATAGCTAAAACAATCTTGAGCAAAAAGAACAAAGCTGGAAGTATCACAGTACCTGACTTCAAAATATACAGCTATAGTAACCAAAATGGCAAGCAAGGTATTGGCATAAAAACGGACACATAAACCAATGAGACAGAATAGAGAACCCCGAAATAAATCCATATATTTACAGTTAATTTCTTTTTTCTTTTTTTTTAATTTGAGACGGAGTCTCGCTCTGTCACCCAGGCTGGAGTGCAGTGGTGCGATCTCGGCTCACTGCAACCTCCACCTACTGAGTTCAGGCGATTCTCCTGCCTCAGCCTGGAATGACAGTCGTGTGCCATCACGCCTGGCTAATTTTTGTATTTTAGTAGAGACGGGGTTTCACCATGTTGGTCAGGCTGGTCTCAAACTCCTGACCTCGTGATCCGTCTGCCTCAGCCTCCCAAAGTGCTGGGATTACAGGCGTGAGCCACCGTGCCCAGCCACTCAATTTATTTTTAACAAAATCACCAAGAACATATACTGAGGAAAGGGCAGTTTCTTCAATAAATGATGCTGGGGAAACTGGATATCCATATTAGGAAGTATGAAACTAGACTGCTATCTCTCACCATTCACAAAAATCAACTGAAAATGAGTTAAGGACTTAAATGCAAGACCCAAAACTATGAACCTACTGGGAGAAAACATACAGAAAACACTTTAGAGTGTTGGACGCAGGAAAGATTTTGTGATTAAGACCTTGAAAGCACAGGCAAGAGAAGCAAAAATGTATGAATGGGACTACATCAAACTAAAAATTTCCTGTACAGCAATGAAAACAATCAACAGAGATAAAACAGCAACTTAGAGAATGAAAGTATTTGCAAAGTATTCATCTGATAAGGGATTAATAGCTAGAATTTACAAGAAACTCAAACAACAGCAAAATAATAATAGTATCATTTTAAAAGGAGCAAATGTGCACCCATCACCCACGCAGTACACACTGCACCCAAATTGTAGCTTTTTGTCCCTCACCTTCTTCCCTCCCTTTCCCCGAGTCCCCAGAGTCCATTGTGTCATTCTTATGCCTTTGTATCCTCATAGTTTTGCTCCCACTTAAGAGTGAGAACATACGATGTTTGGTTTTCCATTCCTGAGTTACTTCACTTGGAATAATAATCTTCAATCGCATCCAGGTTGCTGTGAATGCCATTAATTCATTCCTTTTTGTGGCTGAGTAGTTTCTTTATCCACTCATTGATTGATGGGCATTTGGGTTGGTTCCACATTTTTGCAATTGTGAATTGTGCTGCTATAAACGTGTGTGCAAGTATCTTTTTCATATAATGACTTATTTTCCTCTGGGCAGATACCCATTGTGGGATTGTGGGATTGCTGGATCAAATGGTAGTTCAACTTTTAGTTCTCTAAAAAAATCTCCACCTTGTTTTCCATAGTGGTTGTACTAGTTTACATTCCTATCAGCAGTGTAGAAGTGTTCTCTGTTCAGGCCAGGCACGGTGGCTCCAGCCTGTAATCCCAGCACTTTGGGAGGCCGAGGAGGGTGGATCACGAGGTCAGGAGATCGAGACCATCCTGGCTAACACAGTGACGCCTGTAGTCCCAGCTACTCGGGAGGCTGAGGCAGGAGAATGGTGTGAACCTGGGAGGCGGAGCTTGCAGTGAGCCGAGATTGCGCCACTGCACTCCAGCCTGGGCTACAGAGCCAGACTCCGTCTCAAAAAAAAAAAAAAAAAAAAAAAAAAAGAAGTGTTCCCTGTTCACCACATCCATGCCAACATCTATTATTTTTTGATTTTTTGATTATGGCCATTCTTGCAGATATAAGGTGGTATCACATTGGCGTTTTGATTTACGTTTCCCTGATCATTAGTGATGTTGAGCATTTTTTCATATGTTTGTTGGCCAGCTGTATATCTTCTTTTGAGAATTGTCTACTCATGTCCTTAGCCCACTTTTTGATGAGATTGTTTGTTCTTTTTCTTGCTAATTTGTATGAGTTTGTTGTAGATTCTGGATATTAGTCCTTTGTCAGATGCATAGATTGTGAAGATTTTCTCCCACTCTGTGGGTTGTCTGTTTACTCTGCTGACTGTTCTTTTGCCGTGCAAACACTCTTTAGTTTCATTGGGTCCCAGCTATTTATCTTTGTTTTTGTTGCATTTTGCTTTTGGGTTCTTGGTCATGAAATCCTTGCCTAAGCCAATGTCTAGGAGGTTTTTTTCAATATTATCTTCTAGAATTTGTATAGTTTCAGGTCTTAGTTTTAAGTGCTTGATCCATCTTGGTTGATTTTTGTATAAGGTGAGAGTTGAGGATCCAGTTTCATTCTCCTACATGTGGCTAGCCAATTATCCCAGCACCATTTGTTCAATAAGGTGTCCTTTCCCCACTTTATGTTTTTGTTTGCTTTGTCGAAGAACAATTGGCTGTAAGTATTTGGGTTCATTTCTGGGTTCTCTATTTTGTTCCATTGGTCTATGGGCCCATTTTCATACCAGTACCATGCTGTTTTGGTGACTTTGGCCTTATAGTATAGTTTGAAATCAGGTAATGTGATGCCTCAAGATTTGTTCTTTTTGCTTAGTCTCGCTTTTGCTATGCAGGCTTTTTTTGGGTTTTATATGAATTTTAAGATTTTTTTTCTAGTTCTGTGAAGAATGTTCGTGGTATTTTGATGAGAATTGCATTGAATTTATAGATTTCTTTTGGTAGTATGGTAATTTTCACAATATTGATTCTACCCATCCGTGAGCATGGGATGTGTTTCCATTTGCTTGTGTCATCTGTGATTTCTTTCAGCAGAGTTTTGTAGTTTTCCTTGTAGAGGTCTTTCACCTCCTTAGGCTAGGTATATTTCTAAGTTTGTTTTTTTTTTTTTTTTTTTTTACAGCTGTCGTAAAAGGGATTGAGTTCTTGATTTGATTCTCAGCCTGGTCACTGTTGGAGTATAGGAGAGCTACTGATTTGTGTACATTAATTTTGTATCCAGAAATATTGCAGAATTTTTGTATCAGTTTTAGGAGCTTTTTGGAGGAGTCTTTAGAGTTTCCTAGGTATACAATCATATCAGCAAACAGTGACAGTTTGGCTTCCTCTTTACCGATTTGGATGACCTTTATTTCTTTCCCTTGTCTGACTGCTCTGGCTAGGACTTTCAGGACTGTGTTGAAGAGAAGTGGTGAGAGTGGGCATCATTGTCTTGTTCCAGTTCTCAGAGGGAATGCTTTCAGCTTTTCCCCACTCAGTATTATGTTGGCTGTGGGTTTCTCATAGATGGCTTTGATTACATTGAGGTATGTTCCTTGTATGCCGATTTTGCTGAGAGCTTTAATCATAAAGGATGCCAGATTTTGTTGAATGTTTTTTTTGCATCTATTGAGATGATCATGTGATTTTTGTTTTTAATTCTGTTTATGTGGTGTGTCACATTTATTGACTTGAGTGTGTTCAACCATCCCTTCTTCCCTGGTATGAAACCCACTTGATTGTGGTGGATTATCTTTTTGATATGATTTTGAATGTTTCCATCACAAAGAAATGGTAAACGTTTGATGTGATGCATAGGCTAAATACCCTTATTTGCTTATTACACATTGTATACATGTATCAAAATATCACACTGTACTATATCAATATGTATAATTATGTCAATTAAAATAAATAAAAATAGTAGCCATGACTTTAAATAACTTAAGAAATAATATAATGGACCAGGGGATGAGGAAATAACATGACCCAGCCCTGACCAATCAGAGTTTCCCACACTGTACCACATCTCCATAACAACAGGTATTGGTCCAAAGGTCATCTTCTCTGGTTCTTTATTTATGAACATTGTGAGAAAGATGTCTATTTTTCTGCTGAAGCTGTTAAGGTAGAATAATATGAGAGGAGTTGGAGCTGATAAGCTGATATTGGCTATCTTCTTTAGAAGTACAGAGAGATCTGATGACAAATGTATCTCCGAATCTAATCATGTCTCTAGGCAGCCTCACCCCTGGCCTTTCCAGATAAATTTACATGTTGAATCTTTTCTTTAAAATTATTAACTTGTGACTAAAAAGGTCTTGCTTCTATAACACAAATATTATTTGTTTTTAAGTGAAGGCCAAACAGATTTTAATGTTCTCTCCATCAGTGAGCTATAATTACTAGAAGTATAGTCCTGGACATATCACTTATATTAACCTTTCTCATTCCCAGTGTTACATCTGAATCTTGAAGACATAAAATGAGCTTTGACCTAGTATAAGGATTAGGAGGTAGAATAAATGTAAAGTACCAGGACCTGACACTTGGAAAGTTTTTTTAAACGTCTCAGCTCTTTTCATCATTTGTAAGCTGCACTATTAATTTATTAACAGTTTTTGAGGGAAAACTTAAATCTGCATTAAACATTTGCAGTGTTTTTGGCTGATTGGCATACTTATATTTATCCTTTCAATTATGTAATATTTTCCCATCCATAGCCAAATTTTAAGACTTACATTTTTGAGAAATATAGAGTCAAAAGCATTTTCTGACTTGACTTAGGCCACAGGTTACTCTGCACAGCATCACTGAGACACACCTATCTGTAAAGCTTTTCATATACATAATCTCCAAGACATATAATGCTGTATGGAGACACTTGAATTTCCACAAAGATGCTGGACATTTCATCAGGACCTTATGGCGCTGGAGGCAGATAAGATCTTTCAGAATCAAATTAGCACCCCTTGGCCTGAAGCCTCACATGCTGAGATACAGAGTTCCTAGGGTCCCTCCTGAATATGGTCTTCAAGATGAAGAGAAAATGTCAGGCTATGAGATTCAAAAGAGAGGAGTCAGAGAAACACCTCCCCTGGAATCAGGACCAATTTTAGTTTTGAGATTTAGTCAAAGAAAGATATAGAAGCTAAATATAGGGCCACAATTTGAAGACATAAGAAAGGTAAGATTTCACAGTGTTAGTGCTGAGATGGGGCCAGTTGTACAATATGATCCCAGAATCTCAGTGCTGACATCATTCCAAGTTTAATCTTCCAATTCTCCAACTCAGAATGTCATATTTTCCTCCTTCACTCCCACGTCACCTCCTGTAGGGCACTTCTGCATGGCGTGCAAAGAATCTCCCTTGATGGCTATTTTCTGTGCTTGCCCCTGGAGTCTTCTCTGTGTTGCACCTGTGATCACACTGTTCTATAACCAGGTTCTTCCCCCAGAGGACTGAGGGCTCCCTCCATGTATCTCCAGTACTTAGCACAAGATGAGTTTTATTGCATACTTTACTTCATTTTTATCATATATTATTTAAAAATGGTTCTACAAAGCTTATAGTGAAAACTCTTAACTTTTCAGAGACAGGAATTTTTCCCTGTCCCACATCTCCTAATCTGAAAATTTCTGTTTTGTAGAAGCGGCCACTTTTTGTTCTTCAAAAAATTAAACATAGAATTGACATATGATCCAGCAATTCCTCTTCTGGGTACAGACCCAAAAGAAGTTAAAGCAGAGACCAAGCAGATATTTGTACATCATGTTTATAACAACATTATTCACAACTGCCAAAAGGTAGAAGCAACAGAGTATACATCCATCGATGGATGAACAAAGTATGGTAGATCCATACAGTGGAATATTTTTCAGAAGAAGGAAGGAAATTATTTTCCTGTATTATGTATGAACCTTGAAGACATGAAGCTAGATTAAATAAATCAGACTGAAAAGGAAAAATATTGTATGAATCCACTTACATGATTCACCTAGTTTAGTAAGATTCATAGACAGAATGTAGAATGGAGGTTATCAGGGGCTGGGGAGGAGGAGAGAGTGAGGAGATGTTGCTTAATAGACCTAGCATTTAGTTTGGGAAGATGAAAAAGTTCTGGAGATGGAGGGTGGTGATGGTTACACAGCATGAATATACTTAATGTCATAGAACTATACACTTAAAAATGGCAAAATGGTAAATTTTATTATATATTTTTTTAACCATAATTTAAAAAAGCAGCTACTCTCGTGCTTTAAATAGCTTCTTCTTATCCTTATCTCCATATTTCTTTATTTCTTGTTCAAACTTTTTTTATTTTTTATTTTTGGAGACAAGGTTTCTCTCTGTCACCTAGACTGGAGTACAATGACATCATGGCTCACTGCAGCCTTGGCCTTCTGGGCTCAAGTGATCCTCTCACCTCAGCCTCCTGAGTAGCTAGGACTACAGGTGCAAGCCCACCACACCTGGCTAATTCTTCTGTTTTTTGGTAGAGATGGGGTCTCACTACATTGCCCAGGCTGGTCTTGAACTCTTGGCCTCCCAAAGTGCTGGGATTATAGGTTTGAGCCACTGTGCCCAGCCTCAAACTTTCCATTATAGAAAACTTCAAATACACAAAAACAGAATTATATAATGAATTCTCATTATCCATCATCACATTCAATAATTACTAACATTTGTCCATCATATTTCATATGTTTCCACTTTTTTCCAGGAGAATTTTAAAAAATAGACTTCAGTTCTAGAACAGTTTTAACTACAGGAAAATTGAGAAGTTGTTTCTCCTGTTATTAACATCTAACATTAGTATGGTTCATTTCTTACAATTATTGAACCAATATTGATGCATTATTTTTAACCAAAAGTCATACATTACTCAGGTGTCCTTGAGTTTTACCTAATAATATTTTTCTACTCCAAGGTCCCATTCAAGATACCCTATTACATGGGGTTGTCATGCCTCCTTAGGCTCCTCTTGGCTGTGACAATTCCTCAGATTTTCCTTGTTTTTGATGACCTAGACGTTATTGAGGAATACTAGTTAGGTATTTTATAGAATGTTCCTCTATTGGAATTCGGTGTTTTTTTTTTGTTTTTTTTTTTTTTCATAATAAGTAGAGGTTATGGATTCGGGGGGAGGAAAGCCACAAGTGAGGTACCATTTTCATTACATGATATCAAGAATTCACACTTCCAGAAGAGGGAGTTAATGCTGTTCCTTTAAGGACAAAGTATCTACCTACCTTATTTGGAGTTCTTCTGCAGGAGAGATTTTGCCTCCTCTCCTCCATTGATTTATTTATCACATCATTTATATCATTATAAACTCATCTCTGGAGGATTGTAAAAGCAAATCCTTTACATACAATTTCACAGTTAAATAGTTCAGCATGCATCTTTCACAGAATAGGGTTTTTAAAAAACATAAAGCCATGCTATTCTCACACTAACAAAATTAACAACAGTTCTCTAATTTTGCTAAACACTCAATGCATATTCAAATATCTGTCTTGTCTTTTTCAATTGGTCTGTCTGAAACAGAAGCTAGAGAAGGTCCACACATTGCAATTGCTTCTTATGTCTCATTATTCTCTGTTCTTCTATACCATACCACCCACCCTACCTATTTTTTTTTTCTCAAGGCTTTGATTTGTTGGAGAAACTGTTACCAGAAAAACAGGTCCCGATCCCGACCCCAAAAGAGTATTCTTGGATCTTGCACAGGAAGGAATTAAAGGTGAGTCACAGAGTGCAGTGAGAAGGAGATAGTTTATTGAAAGTTACTCAGATACAGAGTAGGTGTCCTCAGAAAGCAAAAGGAAGAATGCACCATCTTTGTTGTAAACTCTTCTAATGTAGGGGTTTAATCTACATAAAAGCTAAGTTAAATGTCTATGTGTGGGTGCTCTGACAGCATGACAAAATTTAGGACCTATTGATTTAAAGAAAGTTATCCTTGGCATTTTAGTTAGTATATCAAAGCATGACTATAATAATCTTAAAAGCATATATTATAATGTGACGTCAGGACATGTGGACATTCTGTTGTCTGTCATAGGCGTTTGTTCTTGCAGGCATTATTAAGTTGTTTAATCAGCTGTAAACCTCTTATGACCATGGGTTGTGACTGGCAAGGAATATGCCTTGCTAGTTGAAAGATGGAGTTGACTTTAAAATGGTGTCACCCTGGCTCTCCTATGCTTCTGTTTCCCCAAAAAAGCCAGGTTACTTGTCCTGTAGAATGATCCACATTCTGAGTTTGGCTAATGACATTCTCATGGTATTAACTTGTTTCTTTATATGTTGTTTTTTCTGTTACCCACAAAATAATTCTTCTGATACACATTTGTAATCTTACCATGCCAGCATCTGCTACTCTTCATGTTACCAAATTTCTGTTCAAGGACCACTAAAGCCACAGTCAGTGGACATTCTGAGACCTCTAGGGGAGGGTGGAGATGCTGTCCTTTAATATAGTCTGACCCAAGCAACCTCCCCACTTGGCATGGTGAATCTAGACAAGCTAAAGAATTTACTACGCCCCAGGCCTGCACCAGCCCTCTCCTAAGACCTTGGGCACTCTCATTTCCCTTTTTTTTTTTTCTAAAGGAAGTCATAGTTTCTCATAACCTTTGCTAGTGATCCTGGACCTTGGTTGTTCCCTGAGGCTGTGTTCTCCACACTGCTGCCATCACTGCTACAGCAGAGGTGCAGAAAGCTCAGGAGAGAGAAGGGAGGAAAAGCTGAAGATTTTGTGTTATTCATGCTTTCCTGACTCCGGCGAAAGTGCTTCCTCCACCTGCAACCATTTCTGTTTCTATACTGCTGAGTCTTGTGTTCCCAAGACCAAGGGAAGCCCATTTTCTTTAAAGCCAGTCACAGTTTCTGTTGGCTGATGGAATATCTGTTGTCCAGCAGTTGTATTCCTGCTCACAAATGCAAAACAGTTTGATGCCACGCACATTCCAGGGCTTAGACTGGAAATGCTGTCCCTTGCCCCTTTGTTACCTTCTGACAGGGATCAGTCCATAGTGTAGTTGGTGTCACAACAGTCCCGAAGAAGCCTTCCAATAGATACCCAAATGTGATTCAAAGTGGCACAGGCACACACCACGGTGCCACATGGTGCCTATGTAAAGCAGGTATATCAGGAATGCTAAGCAGAGAAGTAGCAGAACACACTGATCCCCATGTTCTCATTGTACAGTTGGGTGCAATTAAGCTGGCACAATGGACTCTTCTCATGGCTACTGTTCCAGTAGTGTGGATGCCCCCAAATGCTGCATATTTACTAGGACAGCCAGGCAGAGACAGCTGTGTACTATGATACAACAGTAGTCCCTCTTAGAGGAAGTGACCTTGTTAGAAGTGGGAGTTTCTGAAGCTCTTCAGCTGTTACTGGCCTGCTCTTCCATAGCGTTACTTCAGACCTGCTGGCCCAGCTATCCACTCCGCTAACAGGTCTGTCTCTGCTAACAGGTCTAGCTCTGTCTCCTCAGCACATGTTCTAGGCTCTGACTGCAAGTGCTGACTTGGGCTCCCAGCCCCACACAGACCCTCTGTTCCATGAAAGGGCCATCTATGCAAAGTGCCCCCCAAATGCCAAAGGAGCCAATAAACCAAGGAACAAGACAGACAAATCTAGTTGTCAGTAAAGAGTGTTTTATTGGGGAACTTACAGACAGAAGCGTGGTCTTGGATGGCAGGAAGACAGGTAGGTTTCTGCACTTATTACCCCCACACCCAGGGCTTATATACCACAGGGGAAGAGTATACATGCTCTGTGCAAGACAAAGGCTACTACTGTCCAGAACAGGTAAGAATGCTAATGTGTCATAGCCTAGAATTTGTATAACATCAAGGTTGACATGTTCTTACAATAGGGATGGTAAATAAAGTGGGAATCAGGAGTCAGTCCTGGGACTGGGGCTAATCAGAAGTCAGCATAGAGAATTAGCATCCAAGAGGGAGTCACTTTTCTCTCCACATCCCAGCCTTCTAATCCAGCTCTTACAATCTCATGGACTCACATTTCCCCCATAGTCCCTGAGCCTTCAGAGAGGGCTGTGGGTGACATTTTGATGGTGTGAGTGACACATTTTATCAATTTGTTTTCTACTTGTTAAGCAGGGGCCACAGCAACAACACAAACAACAGGCGATGATATGTATGCCAGGTGTAAGACACAGAATTAAAAATGCCCTTTACCATGTTTATTCAGGAACCAAACCAAGAGGTATAGAGCAGAACAACAATAGGAACAGAAGACTATGGGTGGAATTAAAAATGTTTAGTAGGTATTTGGTGGGGCAGTTCTTCCCCATTAAACAGAATTACTGGTAGCTCCATCTCTGTTGATTAGGAACATAGGATTGTGGGCTGGGAGTACACACCAAACATGTTGCCTGAGGGGCAAAGGCGCTGGTATTATGTGTAAGGTTACAGGGGCAGCAAAGGACCATGTCAAATGGCCAGCCAGGGTGCTTCTTAAAAGGGACTGTGTTCCAGTTTATTGGTATGTGGAGTGTTTTGGCCCAGACTTCAGCAGGATCAATGGAGACCACTTTAGTTGGTAGGGAATTCCTTGCTGTCTGGAAAGAAATGCTCTATCCAACATAGGGGAAGTTGCTAGTCCAACCCCCATTCAAGTGTCTCCTCCCTGGCTCAAGATCTTGAGGAGTTCTAAATAACCTTTGCCATTGGCCTTTTATCTGCTCAGGTCAGAGATGCATCTGGTTGGACTTTCTTTACTATTATGGTTAATGGATCCATCTCTGTGGTGGTCCTGAGTCATTGGTGTGGTGCCAGCACCATATTTGTCTCAACTAAATTAAGGTTTCTAATGGCTTGAGGCAAAATCTTTGTCTAACTATGAAAGATATTGGATTTTGAGAGTGCTCAAAACTGTGCCTTCAAAATACCATTTTTCCTTTCAATCAACCCTGTTGCTTGGGGGAGTATACAGTAAGTGAAATACCCAGTCTATGTCCCTTTCATGCATCCAGTCTTGGACACCGTGTCTGGTGAAATGCATGCCTCGATTGCTATCAATATGTGGAGGGTATCCTTACATGACACTGAGTTGCTCCAAGCCCCTGATGGTGGCTGTTTGGTTTGCTCTTACAAGGGAAAGCTTGCAACAATCCCATGGCAGTGTATACACATGTTAGTGCATACTTTCGTCTCAAGATTACTGGCAAGGGTCTGATGTAGTCTATCTACCAGTCTGTCACAGGGGTGGCTGTCTTATGTATATGTCCAGGTGTATGTGGGATGTGGCAGAGGTACAGACGGGAACAAATTAAGCAGTTTGCTACCGCCACCACTAAATCTGCATAGCAGAGAGCCAATCCTGCTCCCTTTGCTATTTGGCAGCCCATTCATGCACTGAAATCCCCACTGTGATATGTACCTAATCAACTAGCTCAGTATTCTAATTTTTGCTAGGATGTCTGCCTCCATGTTTCTGGGAGGTGAATCTGACCAGTGTGCTGAAGCAATTAGGTCCACAGTGGGTTCCTGTAGACTTTTCCAAATGTCTTTCCACATACCAGCTCCCCATAAGGATTTTTAAATTATATACCAATCATCTCAGGCCCTTTGGGCAAGCCAAATTGTAAGACCCTTAAGTACTGCCAGACTGTCTGTACAGAGAACTATAGGTGGTGGCTCACGGGTACAAACCAACCATGTAGCTTGGAGTTCTGCCCATTGACTGCTCTGTTGCATTCCCATCTCAAACCAGATACTGTCTGTGGTTGTGCAGCTACTACTGTCCATACACAGGGTTACCTTGGCTCAATGCATCTAAGTACCAAGCATTATCAGGAATGAGGGCCATGCCTTCATGTACCATTGGAGACATCTCCTGTGAGGGCTCCACAATAGGGGCAGCACTGGACTCATAATGTACTGGCCCTAAGATAGCATGCAGTTCATCTCTTAAGGGATGCATGGAGAAGGCACTATGTTGTTGCATGTATGCATGGCACTTTTGTAAAGTGGAAACTTGGGCAATAGCTGATACAGGCCTGGCAAACACTCCTACCCAGTCCTTGATAGGAAACCTGTTCTCCCTGGTACCAGGAAAGCAGCAGTTATGGATTCAACTTGTGGCAAGACCTTCTATATCCCCAGGACCTGTTATTCAACTGGGAAATAGCAGGTTTCAGTACCCTTCCATTAATTGTGACTAAAATTCTAAAGGAACTGCTTCCCTATGCTGGACTTTATATTTTCATCATCCAAAATTATAGTTTAGTTTTACCTTTAAAAATATGTTTTTTGTTCTCATTTGTTCCATAGGTTTCTCCTTGAAATTTATATTGTATGGTAAGGTTTCCTATTGTTTGCATTTTGTGGATTGCACGCCAAGGTGTGGTTTAATGTATTTCTATTACCTGTATTTTCTGTAAATTGGTAGTTTGGTATAGAGGTTTGTGTACATTCAGGGTTTTTTTTTTTCTGTAAGTATTGATGGTTCTGTAAAAGGAAAATAAAATCTTGGGGCCCCAAAATTACTAAGCTAAAGGGAAAAGTCAAGCTGGGAACTGCTTAGGGTAAACCTGCCTCCCATCTGTTCAGAGTCGCCCCTCTGCTCACTGAGATAAACACATGTCTGATTCCCTCATTTGGAAAGGCTAATCGGAAACTCAAAAGAATGCAACCATTTGTCTCTCATCTATCTGTGACCTGGAAGCCCCCTCCTTGCTTCGAGTTGTCCCGCCTTTCCAGACGGAATCAATCTTTAGCTTACATATGTTGATCACTGTCTCATGTCCCCTTAAAATGTATAAAACCAAGTTGTGCTCTGACCACCAAAGTTGTGCTGAGAAGTGACACCAAAGAACATGGTGGCATAAGAACTCCAAGGACCCCTCCCCTCCACAGCGGCAATGTGCTTGTTGAAACACCAGTATAAAAAAACTTGATGAGAGCTGTGATTGGATTTAGTGTTGATATATTTTTTGTAAATTGTGGTAAAACATGCATACTATATAATTTACCTTCTAACCATTTTTTCAGTGTACAATTTGGTGGCAGTAAGCACATTTACAGTGTTGTGTAACCACCGCCAATATCCATTTCCAGAACATTTTCATCATCCCAAACAGAAACTGTACCCATTAAACCATAACTGCCCATTCTCCCTACCCCCAGCCCCTGGTAATCTCTATTCTATTTTCTGTTTCTATGAATTTGCTTATTCTAGCTACTTTATATAAGTAAAATATCATATTTGTTTTTATTTCTGGCTTATTTCACTTATAGTGTTTTCAAGGCTCATCCAATTAGAATTTCATTCACTTTTAAGGCTGAATAATATTCCATGCTTATGTGCACCGTGGGTTGTTTATCCAGTCATCCTCTGATGGACACTCGGTTGCTTCCACCTTTTGGATATTGGGTATAGTGCTGCTATGGGCCTGAGTGTACACATATCTGGGTGAGTTCCTGCTTTCAGTTCTTTTGGGTATGCCCAAAAGTGGAATTGTTGGCTCATATAGTAATTCTATTTTTACTTTCTTGAGGAATCACTATTCTGTTTTCCATGGTGGCTGCACCACTGTATACTCTCACCAGCAGTGTACAAGTGTTCCAGTTTCTCCATATCTTCACCAACACTTGGCCTAGTGAAGTTTACCATATTTTTATGTCCTTATTGGCATTCCTTTTTTTTTTTTTTTTGTGAAACAGAGTCTTGCTCTGTTGCCAGGCTGGAGTGCAGTGGCACAATCTCGGCTCGCTGTAACCTCCACTTCCCAGGTTCAAGTGATTCTCCTACCTCAGCCTCCTGAGTAGCTGGGACTACAGGTACCTGCCACCATGCCCAACTAATATTTGTATTTTTTTGGTACAGACGGGGTTTCACCATGTTGGCCGGGATGGTCTTGATCTCTTGACCTCGTGATCCGCCCACCTCGGCCTCCCAAAGTACTGGGATTACAGGCATGAGCCACCATGCCTGACCAGCATTCCTTATTTTTATGTCCTTATTGTATATCTTCTTTGGAGAATTGTCTATTCATGTCTTTTACTTATTTTTGAATGAGATTGTTTTGCTATTGTTGAATTGTAGTTCTTTACATATTCTGGATATTAATTCTTTATCAGATATGTGATTGGCAAATATTTCCTCCTGGTCTGTGCATTTTCTTTTGATTCTCTTAATAGTGTCCTTTGATGCAAAAAAGTTTTTAAATTTTGATGCATTCTAATTTGTCATTTTTCTTATATTACTTGTACTATTGGTCACCAGCCAAGAAACCACTACCAATTCTAATGTCCATAAGATTTTCCTCAGTATTTTCTTGAGGGTTTTACAGGTTCAATTCTTAAGATTAGTTCTTTGAGTCATTCTGACTTAATTTTTGAAAAGGGTGTAATGGAAGGACATGAATTTTTTCCAGCATCATTCTTTTGCATGTTGATATCCAGGTTTCCAGCACCATTTGTTGATGCACCATCTGTTGCAGTGGGGCTGACACATTTGTAAGATGCAGTGAGCATTAATACATGGGAGCACCATGCATTTATTTACCTGTCTTTACTTCACAGTTGTTTTGAGAAGGCTTTCACTGACAGACTCAACAGAAATGAATATATATGACTTCTTATAAAATCATATTCAAGTAAAATTATAAATTTTAAAATGTTAAGACTGGAGCAAGACTGGAACATCACTAGACAAGCTGAAACATAGGCTGAAATGAAGGGTTATGTTTACCTTGCTACAAATTCTGTTGGCCCACAATCTCTTATGCTTATTGCTTAAGAGAGCCACAGAGTGGGGTGATAGCTCACATAACCAGTCCCTGGTTTTCTGCTTCAGAAAGAAGTTTAAATATTCTGCTTAGACAGAGTAAGGAAATTAACTGAAAGATGTCTAATGTGAAGTTGGCATCTACAAAGTGAAGGAGTGAGTAGTAAGTGTAAACATCAGGAATCCCAGGAGATTCTATCTTTTTGCACGGAAATGGCCTCACTATGCACTGCTGAAGGGAGAAGGTCCCTTCAGGGGACCTTCATGATGAAGAAGAACACAATATGATATAGGAATTTTCTGCTGCAGCCCTAAACTGAATTGTCCTTCTCTCTAACTACAGGTCTCACAAAGTTTTATAGCTTCAATGATTTCACCTGGGCCAAGATTTTGGTTTTTTTGATGTTATTTGTTTGAACTGCTGCCTGGGGCTTAGAAAAGTGACTTGGATATTTTGTCAAAATGGATTTTCTTTGATGGAATGTGAAATCCGTAAACACTCTGCTTTCCTGCTGTATCCCCAGAGCAGGTTGAGTACCTTGCACTTCTTCTCAGCACTTCGCTAGAAGTGGTAGAAGATTTGGAGTTAGGGCCTCCCTCAATCCCTACCCTTTCTTTAATTCAGAGGATCACAAACTGTTGGGAGAAGAGTGGTATCTTGGGCCTCTAGCTGATCTGATGAATATTAATATCCAATGTCCTGTAGTGAAGTCATGTGTGCGTGTAACATCACTTCTTCACGCAGTGTCATAGGAAAGTGGGTTCCTGGACCCCAGGTTAAGAGCCTAAGCACTAAAGGCACAGAGCTAGAGCTCTAGGAGGGGAGGGATGGCTGGGGTGGAACCTCGTCTTGTCATTTAGTCCTGGGGCCTTTTCACTCCTTACATGGTGGGTGGTGGGCGTCTGGCAGGTGCCGATGTTGATGGAGTCAAGGGAGGGAACTAGCCGGGACAGGGAAAAACAGGGTTGGAGAGATAATTAAGGTGGACATTATTTTTTCTGAGCGTAAGTCGTGGCTGGAAATCTGGAGAGCCTGAAAGAGTATCCCCCTACCCAAACCTGTTTTTTCCTTTTCCCTCAAGCCTCATTTGGCCACAGGCCCAGTGTCAACACCAGGGGGCGCCACAGACCATGAAGGCGCCCACAGACCATGAAGGCACCGTGCAGCTGGGATTGTTTGTGGTCGGCTACTGGGTCCCTGACTTAACCAGGGGAGCCAAGACCCTGTAGCCAAGTGGCCTGGATTCAACCTGCAGCTCAGGTCTTACTGACACTTCTCCCCCTGGTGCCTCAGTTTCTTAATCTGTGAAATGGTGAGGACATTACAGCATTTACCTCTGGGGCGGGTTTCTCAACAGCAGCACTATTAACAATTTGGGACAGAGAATCTTGTGGAGTGGTCTGTCCTGTGCATTGTGGGAGGTTTGCCAGCAACACCCCACTCACCCCCTCCCACCAATCCCCATGTGACAACCGAAAATGTCCCAGGATTTTTAGGTCTCCCTTGGGTCTAGAAGCTGCACTTAGGCATTTTCCCACCTGACACTTGAGTTCATCTCTGCTTTGGTCCACATAAGGCCACTTTAAAAAAATGTTGTTTCTTTAAAGATTCTAACCATCTTTTAAACAAATCCATTTTCTTCCTCTATTTCTGCATTCAGTTAATCCTTCCAAACCCTTTGTTTAGTATATCTTGAAATGTATCAATTCCTGTTCTAGTAATTAACATATGTGACTTGCATGATATCTGCTATGACCCCTAGTAGAGCTCTGATTCCTTTAGCACAGGGAATGTGTTCTCGATTCTGCTCTGGATGATGTAAATCAATTTATTTTACTTTACTTGTCTGGGATGTTGCTCCTCATCTGTAAGATGTAAATGTGGATATGGCTTGGATTACTAAGTGGTTTTATTTCTTAATTCACCTGACATTTGTTGTGTGCCTGCTGCAAGTCAAATACATGGCATGGTATTGTTTCCTTGTTCACACCACAGCAAATGAGAAAATGAGACATTATAGCCAGGTGTGGCGGCACAGGCTTGTGGTCCTAGCTACTCGGAAGGCTGAGGCAGGAGAATTGCTCCAGCCCAGGAGTTTGAGGTTACAGTAAGGTATGATATCACCATTGCATTTCAACCTGGGCAACAGACCCTGTCTCTGAAAAAAGGGAAAAAGACCTTGTGAGCTGTCTACGTGTACTCTATGTCTCAGGAGACTCATATCCTGTAATTTTTCTAAATGGCGTCTCCATGTGGTCTTTCATGAATGTTTGTCTGGTATTCTCTATCCTTTTACTTTCAACTTTTCTTTACCTTCTACTGAAATTATGTCTTTTGTAAACAGCCCATGATTATTTATTTAGTTATTTATTTTTACCCCCCTGCACTATTTGTCTTGTAATTGGAGTGTCTGAGTCCATTATGTTTAATGTAATTATTGACCTCATTGGGTTTAAGTCTGTCCATTGTCATTTGCTGCCTTCTAATATTATCTCTTTCTTGCTCAACTATTTTTCTTATGTTACCTTCTTTAGATGAATAAAAACCTTTGCATTATTGTAGTCTTCTAAGTGTCCTAATTACACATTCTCTTATTATTTCTTTAATTATCTGAGAAAGCATAATGATCTGTGACTTATTATAACCAATAGCAGACCACAACTTCCCTGACTTTCACCTACCTGTGCCCACAGCCCAGGGGAGAATCAGTGCTCTGGCTCTGAGACACAGGGGTGGTGGGAGTAGGAGAGTGATTGGATGATGAATCTGTAGCTGCAGAGGCATCTGGGCCCCTCACCTGCATTCCTCATAGATGTCTCCTCCATTGAATGCCTGCGATGCCCTCTCCTCTGTGTACTCCTGCCAGAGTCTCCCTATCTCCACTGACAGCAGCTCCACCCTTCTGCTCACTCAGTCCAATACTGTGGGTGTCCTTGATTCTTCTTCTCACATCCATTAGCAAGTGCTGTGAGTCCATCTTCAAATTCATCCAGAATCCCTTCACTTCTCACTATTTCCCCTGCTCACACCCTAGTCAAGGTAAGCAACGTGTCCATCCTAGAATACTGTACTCCTTTCCCACCATTTTCCCCACTGCATCACTGGTTCCCCACCTCTCAATTCTGTTCTCAGCACAGCAGCCAGAAAGAAGCTTTCAAAGGATGAGCCCTACCATGTCCCACTTTTCAAAACTGTCCTCCCCATGTCATTCAGAGCAAAGGTCAACACCCTTCCCACACCCTTCAGGGCTACCTGCTCTAGCCACACCTTTGACCTCACTTCAGTTTCTCTGTGTCCAGCCCTTCTGGCCTCTTCCTCCTTCCAGGAACACAGACAATTTCCTGCCCTAGTGCATCTGCACTGAAGGTTCCCCTGCCTGAAAAGAACTTTCCCAGACATCCTTGTAGACAACTCCTCACATCCCTCAAATCTTTACTCCAAGGTCACATTTGCAACAAGGCCCATGCTGACCACCCAGCACAACAGCCACCTTCCTGTCCCCACAGCCCACCCTCTGGATCACCTGCCACACAGCACTTGCCACCTTCTAACTCAAGCATTTTCTGTTCCTACTCTGCTTATACTATATCTATCATCTGCCTACAGAGGTGTCCAATTTTTTGGCTTCCCTGGGCCAGTTGGGAAGAATAAGCATTGTCTTGAGCCACACATAAAATACACTAATGACAGCTGATGAGCAGAAAGAATAGAAAAAAGAAAAACATGTGCGTGCATAATTTTCATGATATTTGCTACCACAGATAAGCAAAAAAACTTCTTACATTCAAAGCTGTCCCGGGCCACACGCAGCCCGAGAGCTGCAGGTTGGACAAGCTTGCATCTAGAACGTATACACCACAAGGCCAGAAATTTTTCTGTTTTTACTTTAATGATGTTTTCTAAATGCAAAAACAGTCATATACCTAGCAGACAACAAATGTCAGTTGAATGAATGATCACTGTAGAGCACCTCTGTATTCTAAAGGCAATATCTTTATTAACGTAGCTAAAGAACAACATCATCTCACACCAACATCAGTGCTGCCAGTGCTTTTCTCACCAGGGCTGCTTGTGTGTCCTTCTCACCTCCTCCCACACCAACCCTCCTGCACACTGCAGCGCACAGCCATATTTTTCTGTTCAGGAAAGATAATCCTAGCCTTGTGGGTCCAATTTTCCAACCCCATATAAATCTAAATCAGACTCTGCTTTATAAATGCATGAGTTTGGATTGGAGCCAGCACTGGGATTACTACAACTCAGGCAGGAAGAAGAGTAGGAAAGCAGAAGAGGAGTTCCAACAGAAAGTTACCTACGATGAGAAACTATGGGACCCCTCCTCTCTGCAAATTTCAGAATCTGCTTCCTTTAAGAAGGCTGGGGAAAAAGATGGAAAATACAATCCAGGAAAGAGACCTGGAAGGAGGGCAAAAGATACAGGGGACTGAAAATTTGTCTCTTCATACCGGAAGGACTTCGATGTGTAGGGACCACCCTAGGTGACATCCAAGTCCCTGTGATCACAGGTCCTGGTGGGACAAGGTTCTACTGAAGGGCCAAGGACAGTGGAGCAGCAAAGATGACCCAGGTGAGCTGTGACCACATAAAGCCCATGGTGGCCTGAGCACACACTGGGCACAGCCCCATCTACTCTCCTCCCCTGCAACAAATCAGCACAAGAAACACGTGGACTCTGGAAGGTTCTCATGTCTTCCATTTATTTTGTCTCTCAAATTTTAGGAATCTTCTCCTTTAATTAACCCATCAACCCGTCATGGAAATAATTTGAAAAAAGTAAATTTATACTCAGATTCTAATTTTAATAGGGAAGTAAGAAGTTACAGCTCAGTGCACCATGAAGTTGAGACAGAGATGGAGACATCCCAGCACCACTTCTCTGGAACAGGAAAGGTGATCGGGGAAGGAATGTAGGTCAGTGTGGGGAACAGGGTCATGGTGGACACGGGTGTGGGCTGGTCTCCCCACCACCTCACATTATGCCTATAGGGACACAGACACATTCAGATGCCTTTGCAGAAAGAGAAGTCAGGGTTCTTGAAGTCACAAAGGGAAGGCATGAACAAATCTTGCCTCTCAGTCCCACACAAGGCAGCTGTCTCACACTATAGAAAAAATATTCATGAACAAATTCATATCACTCACAGTGAGGGGTCACACCTTCAACAGCCCATCATGTGCTGAATACATCCAAGTCAAAGAAACCCCATAGCACAGCTATATCCACTGTTACCCCAACAACCCACACACATCAGCCTCCCCAGGGTCTCACCTTTACAAGCCGTGAGAGACACATCAGAGCCCTGGGCACTTTGGCTGCCTGGGGTAGAACAAAAACAGAACCTGGTCAGATCCCACAGGAGATGTGGCTAGAGGAGGAATTGTGGGGTGGGTGAGCTCCCCCATGGGCTCCCAACCACAATATCCCAAGGATCTCAGGGATCAGCCTCCTTCATACTTACTTGCAGCCTGAGAGTAGCTCCCTCCTTTTCTATCTGCGGGAAGAAAACGTCCTGTGAGAGGCCAGGAAGGTAGCAGGGCCATGAGGTCCTAGAGGAACCTCCTAGTCTTGGAACCTCGAGAAGTTTCCAGAAATGTGTGACTGCAAACCAAGGGCAGGATCAGGAGAAACAAGGAAAGCAGATGTGGGTCCTGGACCAACTGCCCTCCTAAGGTCTGTCCTCAGCAGGGACCTTCCCCTGACCTGTGATTACTGGGGTCAGATCCCCATCACTACAATCATCAAGGTGAGAAATCTGTCCTTCATTGTCACAGGTGCTTACAAAAGAGTAAGTGCTGGCACACAGGGCCCAGGCTGGGTAGGCCCATGAATGTGGATGGTGCTTCCCGGTAACCAGGCAGAACACATTTCTACCTGGAGCTTGAAACCCCCAGTGGGACAAGAAAACTCAAACCCGACTCCTCACCCCTTCCCCACCTGAGCTCTTCTTCCTCCACATCACAGCAGTGACCACAGCTCCAGTGACCACAGCTCCAAGGAGAACCAGGCCAGCAATGATACCCACAATGGGGATGGTGGGCTGGGGAGAGGGCTCTGGGAAAGGAGGGGAATGTGAGGGTTCTGACCTCCAGGACCCAGCCCCGACCCTGCTAAAGGTCTCCAGAGGGGCTCCTGCTTTCCCTAAGAGACATGGCCGCCCCCATCTCTCTCCTTACCCCATCTCAGGATGAGGGGCTTGGGCAGCCCCTTGTGCTGCACATGGCATGTGTATCTCTGTTCCTCTCCAGAAGGCACTACCACAACCGCCCACTTCTGGAAGGTTCCATCCCCTGTGGGCCTGGTCTCCACGAGCTCCATGTCCTGGGTCTGGTCCTCCCCATCCCGCTGCCAGGTCAATGTGATCTCCGCAGGGTAGAAGCCCAGAACCCAGGACCTCGTTATGCCTCATGTTCAGAGAGGGGGGTGGGTCACGTGTGTCTTGGGGGGGGTCTGAAAGGAAGAGTCGGAAAACTCAGGCACTTTGCATTCCTCATGGGACACCCCAGCAGCGCCCATGTGACCATCCTGATGAATAGGACACCTGGGGTGGGGAAGGGAGCACAGAGCCCAGACACCAGCCTGGACACAGGCGCCTGGGATAATCTCCTATTCCTTGGAAAGTTCTAGTCTCTGAGCAGGGTAGCAGGGACTTCTGGTCCTGATCTGAGTGGAGGCCAAGGGACTCAGAGGAGCTGGAGTCAGACTCCGACACATTGAGTGTGAGGCAGAGAACAAGGCCCGGGAGGAAAAGTCCTGGTGCCCAAGGTTGCTGTGGGGTGAAAGGGGACCGCGGATCAGTCTTCCAGGGATTGTCTTCCCCTCCACTCCCTCAGAGACTTCATCCCTTAATTGTCCCAGGAAGAGCAGGGTGGGCCCTCAGAGTCAATCTCTGATACAGGATCTGGAAACCCAGGAGGATTCCTCTCCGTCAGGACAGGAGGGAGGGCGATATTCTGGTGGTGGTTCCATTTTCTTCCCCTCCTTGTGCGAGGCCAGCCCGGGAGATCTACAGGAGATCGAGCAGGCTCCCCATGGCCCCTGGTACCCGCGCGCTGCAGCGTCTCCTTCCCGTTCTCCAGGTGTCTGCGGAGCCACTCCATGCAGGTGCCCTCCAGGTAGGCTCTCCTTTGCTCAGCCACATTGGCCGCCTCATACTTGCGCTGGGTAATCTGAGCCGCGGTATCCGCGGCGGTCCAGGAGCGCAGGTCCTCGTTCAGGGCGATGTAATCCTTGCCGTCGTAGGCATACTGCTCATACCCGCGGAGGAGACGCCCGTCGGGCCCCAGGTCGCAGCCAAACATTCCCTGGAGGATGTGATACCCTGGCCCAGTTCCCGCGGTCAGCCCCGCCCACCGAGCCCTGGCCCGGCCCCTAGCAACCTGCGGAGATTTTGGCCTCAACTGAAGATGAAACCAGGTAAAGGCGCCTGGGGCTCTCCCGGGTCGAGGATCTCTGCAGGTCCCGCAGCCTCGGGGTCGATCTTGGACCCGGAGACTCAGGGGACCAGGGCCGTCCGTGAGGCATGGAGCGGGGAGTAAGTGATCTGCGCCCCGGGCCGGGGTCACTCACCCGCCTCGCTCTGGTTGTAGTAGCGGAGCAGGGTCCGCAGGTTCACTCGGTCAGTCTGTGCCTGGGCCTTGGCGCCCAGTGTCTGTAGGTCCCAATACTCCGGCCCCTCCTGCTCCACCCACCGCGCCCGCGTCTTCATCCTCAGACTCACGGCGTCACTGTCGACCCGCACGAACTGCGTGTCGTCCACGTAGCCCACGGCAATGAAGCTGGGCTCCCCGCGGCCCGGCCAGGAAACGGCGGTGCTGAAATACCTCATGGAGTGGGAGCCTGGGGGCGAGGAGGGGCTGAGACCCGCCCGACCCTCCTCCCGGCGCGGCTCCCCGGGTCCTGCGCCCCAGCCAGGTGGACCTTTCGCTCCTCACGGCAGAGGCCGTTTCCCTCCTGACCCCGCACTCACCCGCCCAGGTCTCGGCCAGGGCCAGGGTCCCCGAGAGCAGCAGGAGGAGGGTTCGGGGCGCCATGACCCCATCGTCGGCGTCTGGGGAGACTCCGAGTCCCGGTGGGTGCGTGGGGACTTTAGAACCGGGGCCGCGCGACGCTGATTGGCTTCCCTAGAAACCCGACACTCAGTGGGAGTGAGAACTGGGTCCGCGTCGTGAGTGTCCAGGAAGAAGGACCCGTCGCAGGCTGGGAGAGGGAGAAGAGAAACTCTGCGGAGATGGGGAATCCCCAATGCTGCACCTCCCCAGCCCATGCACCGCCTTCGGGGCCTGAGACCCTGAGAGCCATGCCTGGGGCTCTGGGACTTCGCCCTGACCCCGCTCCTCCTGTGACAAACGCTCTGTCTCAATGTTCCCTGAGTCTTGGTCCAGGAGCTGTCCGAGAAACCAGGAAGAAACCCTCAGCTTGGGCCCCGTCCCTCTCCTTTCACTTTTCATCCGGGAATTCCTGTCCCTGAAATGGACTCCCTGCTTCCCCACTGCTTACCTGTTCCCCTGGACTCTTCAAAAAGAAAACTCACCCCAGGGAGCTTGGTGCCAGAGAGGGAGCTCTCCCTGGGAATGGAGGTGTAGAGACAGAGGTTTTTTTCTTTTATTTCTTTTTTCTTTTTCTTTAAATCTGGAAAAGTTGTGCCTGGGTGCATGAGATAGTATAGAGACCAGTTTGCTTTTTGTGTATTAACTACAGTGGGTAGCAGAATCTTGGTAACCCCTGAATGATCAGGAATCTAATCGGTAAAAACATGTGACTTTGGCCCCTTGATATATAAAGTGTCTAAAAGCATTACAACAGGACTCACAAAGCTCCTAAGTTTCACTTTTGCAAACAAGGTATCTGTGACTCCCGCTTGTGGTGTTTTAAATTTACCTTTATTCCGTAGCCCTGAGTTTCTGTGAGTCCAGGACATCTCCTCAATACAAAGTAGCCACTGTGTTCCTATGTGTTGCAACCAGGAGTCAGTACAGACTTCATTCACCTCAAAGTTGCAAGCGCTCGATGCAGTCACAATGTCCATCACCAGTGCTCATGCACTGCCTGTTTTTAGGAAGTATCCACATCTAAGTGGTGTGTATATTTCTTAGGAACACTTAGTATTTTTAAAACCTGATTAACATAAAAACAATTAGTTTTTAAGCAGACCCACTTAAGGTATTAAAGGCCAACTGCAAGTAACACCCTGCGAGGCTCTGTAGATGGATCTATTGAAATACCATTAAAAAAAGTGTTCAAACCTAAGAGTTGTGCTGCTTTTGAATTCTATCCCTCTACTCCTTTTCCTCACCTACTGCTTCTCCAGCCCTTCCCTCCGTCCCTCTTATCACTCAGCCCCTCCTCTCCCCTTAGTCCCCATCACACTGTCACTCCTGAATTGTGACACTGGCACTCTCCCGTTACCTGCTACGTGACTGTTCTCTCCACAGTGGTCCTGCTAATGTGAGTCAAAGTGTGTCATTTCTCCACCTAAAACACTCCAGTGGCTCCACCTTGGTCTTGTGAAGCTTCTAGAATGTCAGGCACGTGAGCATATGAGGGGATACCTGGTTCATTGTAGGGACTAAATTAATTTTTGTTGACTGAATGAATGAAATATGAGTATATTAAATTGCATCACAGATAATTATAAAATGCAAAACACTGAAAAAGTTCAGAAAGATTTTATTTTATGTAACTAGTGTATATATCAATTCATCAGTTCATTCCATTAGTCTGTTGAGCCTGTGTATGAATTTTATAAGACTGTGTAAAAAATTATCACAAACATTGGCTTTAAACAACACCCATTTATTGTATTTATTTATTTGTTTTTATTTATTGTATTCATTTATTTGTTTTTAGAGACAGAGTCTCTAAAAACTGTCATCCAGCGTGAAGTGCAGTCACATGATCATGGCTCACTGCAGCCTCAAACTCCTGGGCTCAAGGAATCCTCCTGCCTCAGTCTTCAGAGTAGACAGGACTGCAGACAAGTGCCACCACACCCAGCTAATTAAAAAAAAAAGTGTAGAGACGAGTGTCTCACTGTATTACCTGGGCTGGTCTCACACTCCTGGCTGCAAGTGATCCTCCTGTGTCAGCTCCTCAAATGTTAGGATTACAGGAGTGCACCACCACGCCTGGCCAAAAAACACCCATTTATCTGTTTATAGTACCTTAGTCAGAAATCTGGGCATGATGTAGATGGAATCTCTGTTCCAGGCTTCCCAAATCTGAGTCTTCATTTTGAATCCTCCTTTAGGCTTATACAGAGGTGGCAGAATGTGCTTTCTTGCAGTTTTAAGACTGAGGTCCCTGTTCCTTGCTGGCTGTCAATGTAGAGAACAGGGAGGGCTGTACTCAATTCCTGGTGCCCACCAGTGTTGTTTCCTACACAGCCCCTTCATTTTCAAAGCCCACAGTGGAGGAAACCCCTCATGCTGAATCCCTCTCACACTGTGAATCTCTATGCTCAGGAAGAACCCAGTCCTTTCAAGGACTCTCCTGATTAGGACAGTCCAAGCAGCATAAACCCAGCCTGAAGTCAACTAATTGAGCCCCTTTATTATGTCTGCTAAATTCCTTCACAGCAGCACCTACATTAGAGTTGGTTGAATAACTGGGGGAAGGTGAATGACCAGGAGGTGGTTGTTGGGGCCATCATAGAATCACTCTAGCAAGGGATGAATCTTCCTTTTGTGTTTAATTGGGACACAGTTGGAAATTGAAGTTCAAGTAAAGTGATCATTGTGAACGATAATAAAATACATCCTCTTCAGCCATGGAACTTCTCCTTTCCTTTTAAAACTAAGTTACATGTTTAATGTCTTATAATTAAGTTAGGCAGGGGTGGTGGCTCACGCCTGCCATCCTAGCACTATGGAAGGCAGAGGAAGGCAGACTTGTTGACTCCAGAAGTTCAAGATCAGCCTGGGCAACATGGTGAAACTCTCATCTCTACAAAAAAACTAGAAAATTAGCCTGGCATGGTGGTTCATGACTATAGTCCCAGCTACTCAGGAGGCTAAGGTCAGAGGATCCCTTGAGCCCAGGAGGTCGACACTGCAGTGCATGGTGATCATGCCACTGCACTCCAGCCTGGGTGACAGAGTGAGACCCTGTCTCAAAAATAATAATAATGATGATGATAAATTTAGAGCAAATGCAAATTAACATGTAATAATGCATCCTGTCTTGTGAAAATGTATTAGTTATTTACTATGCATAACAAATTATGTAAAACTTAGCAGCTCAGAACAACAAATATTCCTCATCTCCCACAGTTTCCAATGATCAGAAATCCAGGAGAGGTTTCCCTGAGTGCTTCTGGCTCAGGGCCTCTCACAAGGTTGCAGTCCAGTTGTCAGCCTAGGCCTGCATCATCTGAGGACTTCACTGAGCAAGGCCATAGAGGAGTCCTCGAGCTACAATTGGCCATCAGAGGAGTCCCCTGTCTCCTAGGAATGTCCTGCCTTAGTGTCACTGGTATGACCCATCAGTCATTGGGAACAGCCCATGGGAAGAGGGCCTCAGCACCAATGTACTGAGGATGTCAGAACACAAGAGCAGGGCCTTGGGAGATTGCCCACAAGTGTGACTCAAACCTTCTGCCCTGACGGGTCTGGGCCCTTGGAAATCAAATCCTCTCAGGCTGAATTGCTGGATGATTCTGCTCACACTTACAATGGGGCAAGGGAAACCAGAAGGCTCCCAGGTGGATCTCTGGTTTCCACACACACTTCTACCCTTGTGTGAAACAGCCATGCCTTCTCCTGGGGATGAGGATCTATTTATTACCTGGGCCTGGAGAGGAGGAGAATCTTCTTCTCACCAAGTGGTATCTGGGCACACACTGTCCAAACTTCTCTGGTGACTAAAGTAATGTGTAGTTCAGTGGGCTGTCTTTTGTCTCCTTTTAGGGGTACACTCCTTTGGAAACCAGAACCTCGTATCCTGCACAGCCCAGTGTTGGGAGATAAAATATGCGAAATACCCCATTGAGTGAATCTAAGAGATTGGACATGGAGCCAAACCTGCTTCCGCCTTTTGATTTCTGGACACACATGTTCTTCCTATTGAGAACACAGAACTCTAGAGACGTCTCTGATTCAAACAATGCACTGTGTCCTGAAAGATGGCACCCACCCCTCAGAGTGCTTCCTCCAGGCTGGCACTGAGTTGTGCCTGTAGAAGACCTGTCCAGCCTTCCTTGTGGCTGGCAGCTCCTGGGTAGTGCAGATGGTGATAGGATTAGTGGAACCCACAGCCGTGGAAACACTGAAACTTTCCCTGCAAAGTGGGTCCTTCAGGCAGATAATGGGCTAGGAGCACTGCCTAGCCTGCAGACCAGGAATGTCAACAGCACCCAGAGAGTGGTGCTGGCTGTGTCTGAGAGCAGGACAGGAAAACCCACCCATAGAATCGGTACCTAACCCTGTGAAGATGAAACTCTGGCCCTTCCAGGTTGGAAGTAGCTAAATGTAGTCAACTTGTTACTTAGTGGGTAGTCATGTAAAGAAATAGTGCCCCACTAGGGCACATCATGGGCCTCAATTGCTGATGAGTTGGACATTCAGAGGTGGCAGCAGCTGGATCTGCCTTGGTGTGGGGAAGTCAGTGCTGCTGGCCCCTTACGGAGCCTCATGCCTGCCACTGTGGTTGCTCCATTCATGCACTCATCCTACCAGGCCTGGGCTGACCCATGGTGAAAGCTGGCTAACTGCCATTTGTCTGTTTGGTAGTTCAGTGCCACTTCAGACTTGGGTGTTTTCTGTGGGTGTCAGCAAGGGATTCAAGCTCAACCCAGGTGGACTGTTTTCACCTGATGATGAATGCTGTTGGGCCTGTACCATCTATGACTTTGTGGGTCACACAGGCACTTGGAACCCCGTAGTTGCTTGGTATCCCGTGGTCAAACATTCTATTGAATCAGGACAAGGAACACTAAAAGTTGCTTCTAACAGGGGGCATGTGTCTCTGCTGTGGATGACATGATCTTACTCCAGAATCCCAGGCCCTCCACTGTGACTCTCCCACTGGTGCTTGGTTCAGCTCCATCCTGTGTCTTTCCCCACCACTGGCACCACCAGCCCCAGGGGTCTGAGGGATGGTGGCTGCTTGTACCATGGCCTGGATCTGCTGCAGGGTCCTTTCCTGTGTAGGCCCCACTTGAAGCTGGCATCCTCCTATGTCACCTAGACTGTGGGCCAAAGCAAAATGTCTAGATGTGGAATGTGGTGTTGTTATAATTCAAAGAGGCTCACCAAGCAGTGTGCTTCCTTGCTTCTGGTGAGGATGCAAGATGCAACAGTTTTTCTTTTACCTTGGAGGGGACACACCTGCATTCCCCTAAACACTTGGCACTTGTTCACCCATAAAACTTCACTTCAGTGCCCACCTTTGAAGCTGTATAAGGTTTATCTTCACCTTGTGGGGTGCGTGTGTTTTGCAAAGGACTACAGTGCACTTTCTTCCTGCTGCTCATCTACTCCAGTCAACATGAAGTTGTCAATGAAATGTGCTGATTTAATATCCTAAAGGATATGCAGTATGTCCAGTACAGTCTTAAGCCTATACTATAGAGGGCACAGGTGTTACAATAGCCCTGAGGCAAACAATAAATAAATGTGTCGTTGATTCCACATGAATGTGAATCACTCCATATCCTCTTCCTTCCTTCCTTCCTTCCTTCCTTTCTTTTTTGACAAAGTCTTGCTCTTGTCCCCTAGGCTGGAGTGCAATGGCGTGATCTCGGCTCACTGCAACCTCTGCCTTCTGTGTTCAAGTGATTCTCCTGCCTTGGCCCCCCGAGTAGCTGGGATTACAGGCACCTGACATGATGCCTGGCTAATTTTTGTATTTTTAATAGAGACGGGGTTTTGCCATGTTGGCCAGGATGGTCTAGAACTCCTGACCTCAGGTAATCCACCGGCCTCGGCCTCCCAAAGCTGGGATTACAGGCATGAGCTACTGCGCCCAGCCCATATCCACTTTCTAATTGGAGTGGAAAGGAATGCACTCACCAAATCCACAGCGGCACACTGTGTGCCCGGGGCTTTATTAACCTGCTCTACCAGTGATAACCAGACAACATAAAAGCTGCAATTATAACTCCTACTTGGCCAGACCTGGAGTAATCTCATTCATTCTTTAGGCCTTACCAGTTTCCCTCAGGGACAGGTTGCTGGATTACATAGAGACAATAGACAGCCCCAACACCACCCCACATCCTTCAGCTCTCTAATGTTGGTGCGACCCCATAATACTTTCAGTGTCTTCCACAAGACCCACCCTGGGACACACTATGGTTTTTGATTTGGCCAGGATGTGGGCAGTGTCAGAGGTTTCCGTTTGGCTTTCAGCACAATGAGAGTCCTTACTCCACAGACTAGGGACCCAGTGTGGGGGTGACTCCACTTAGCAGTGCAGCAGTGTCAATCATGCACTCAGGGAATTGAAAGATATCCAGCGTTGGGTCTGTTGGCCCAGTGGTCCCATTGTGGGCCATAATTTGTCCAGGTTTACTCCCTGGCCTCCATAAGCCCCACTGTGATGGGAGACATGAGTGCTGTGGGCATCTGGGCATCAATGTCAGCTCACACCCAGTGTCAATAATCCCTCCAGTTCTGCGTGTTTCCTTTCCCCAGTGTACAACCACCCAAGTAAATGTCTATAGGTTCCTTTGCCAAATGATTGAGGGAATTGTGCCAGCATATACTTCCACAGGGTTGCAGGGTCTTCCTCCTAGGGATATGGACTCCTCCTCTGTCACTGAGATCTGAATCTGAATCTTGGCTGAGGTCTAGGCATTGAGGATGGGATCATGACTTTGTATTGGGTCAAACACCTTCACCCTCCTGCTCCTCAATTCTTTCATTCCTATCATAGATATCAAGCAGCGCCCTTGTTGGCTGCCTGTCCTAACCCTGGGACACCACCCTCTATTAACCTTCCCCACATTCCCTGCAACTTGAGTCCTCCTGGCTGCTACTCTGAAGTTGCCATAGTAACCATGCCCTCTGCTTTTTCAGGTCACTGCCACCACTTCTTCTCTGTCTCTTCAGGGCCACACTCTCCCCAGGGATATGGATAAATGCAACTCTGGGACCATCTTTATTACCATCACCTGCAGCCTGCAGAGGACAACACCCCTATACTTAGTGATGCAGGTCCCTTTCACCATCATGTTCCTGAGGCTCTGGTGGAAGGTTGTGTCCTCTGGGCCCTCTTGTGGAGCATGGCCCTGGTGGGCCTTCACCATGCCCACTTCCCTCAGCCTCGTTATTCCTTCCTTTACATGTTCCAGGGCAACTAAGACATGTCTACCTTGTTGAGAGTTGGGCATCTTTTTTTCCAATCTATATGGATTCACCCCAGCGGTGGGTTTAGCTCCACTTATCAAAGTCCTGGGGTGTTTGACAAACCCATGCCTTGAGAAAGTGCCTCCAAGCCAAAGGATTTTTATTCATCCAGCCTGAAATTCTGGTTTCTTGATCAAACGCCCTCAAATTCCAATCCCAGAAGTGCTCCTTGGGCTCCTGTGGGGAAATGGCGGCTAATTCCTGCAAAGCTGCTGAGTAGGATTCCCGCAGAATCACGGGGGTGAGGCTTTTGCAGCATCTTCCAGCGTAGGAAGTGGGAACCATTATTAGATAATGGTGAGCCTCCTCTGCATTCCCAGAGGGTCCTGGAGGGCACCCATCGGATATCCTGGTTCCAGTTTCCAGAATCTCAGGTTTCCCCACCAGGACCCTGACTTTCCTGTAACAGGCCTGCTTTGGCTGAGTGTCAGACATGTCTGGAGCACTGTGGCCCTCGTAATGATGTCTTCAGCTGCCATTCCACGCTATCTGCCCTTTCGCTACAGGAGATAAAGGCCTCTCCATGAGACACTGCAGAGGCTGTCACCTGTAGCCAGTGACAGCTGTTAACAACCCGCAGATTCTCATGATCCTTTTATAGGGTATCAACGCAGCCAAGCAGTAACCACCCAACTCCTCTGTCTTTGTAGGTTTCCCCCAACCTCATCATTATTGTGTAGGGCATTCTATCACCTCACCTGCCATAGCTTCCCCTAACCAGGGCATCTTCTCAGCTCAGCACTGAGGAGACCACAGCACCTCAGCTGCACCTTATGCCATGGACTTTCTGTGTCCCCCACCAACCCGGGTGGCATCCTCTTGGCCTGCCAGGCAGTGGGCAAGATTATTTCAAATTCCCATTTTTGCCTGTTTTCATGGGTCACCCTTCATACCGCTTGGGTTAGTTAGGGTCCCCTGAGGAGCAGAGCCCAATACGGTAGTAAATGTGCAAGGATTTATTCAGGGAAATACTTGTGAGAGAAATTCAGGAGAGAGACAGAAAACACTGGGAGAGCCATCAGACCACACTGCAACTCTGAGCCCCAGTGAAGGAGAGAGGGCAGGAAGTTCAGCTGGAAGCATCCTAGACCCTGTGCAGGCTAAGGGAAATTTAGTAAAGGAGGCAGGGAGCCCTGGGGCTGCAGTCAGCCTTCAGAGGAGAAATATTCCTGCCTTAGTTTCTGCCCTGCTTTCCTCAATCATTGGCTGGAAAAGATCAGGGGGCAGGTGTGGGATCAGAGCAAATGTGGCAATAGATTTCAAGCTTCAAGAGCTGGGGTCATCATCGATTCTGCTTCCTGTAGCTGAGGGGCTGGGATGTGCATTCTCATGACTGCCACAATGATCCAGTGGGGAGAGAGGGAAAAAGTTGATGATAAAGATAAAAAAAGATACTAGTTGATGAACTGACAACTTTAAGTAGATGAGAAGGGATGATGTTTGGGGCACCAGAAGAGGGACTGGCTCTGACTGGGAGCAGAATTGTTAACCCCCAGCAATCCCTCCCGTGGTAAAATGCCTGACATGTGGTGCAGCTGCAAATGCATGAGCAGACAGTGGTGGAATCGGGGAAGTTGTCTTCTAATGTGTTCAGTTTTCTCAGTGAGGTAGGAGGCAAGGTTGTCAGCTGAGGTAAGAATGGGGAAGAAGGGTTGGATGTGTGAGCACAGAGAGAAGGTGTCTAGGAGTCACCCAGGCCAAGAGGAGGCTGAGGGTGAACCACGTAGGGAGAGGGTGATTGCTGGCCACGTCAATGGTAGGGGCTCCCCATGAGGTTTGGAATCTTAAAGAGACCAGTCAGCATGTTGTGTGCTGCTGTCCAGCCTCCTGCAGCTCATGGGGCAGGTGCAGCATAGACAGAGGTGGAACCCACCAGCTGTGTAGTTTTGCCAGGTGAGTATGACAATGCAAGGGAGAGGCAAGGGAGGGATTGAAATTATTTACTGTAGAATTCAAAATGGGAGAAGAGGGAGGAGAGGACACCAAGGGTGAGTGACAGGGAGTAGATGGCAGGATCACTCAATTGGGAATCCCAGTGGGCTGGAAGGATTGTTGGAATTGATGTACCACAGGGTGGACTCCAAGCCTGGAATGCAGGCACATAGGAAATGAGTGGTTCATTGATATTACATCACAGCATATGATAAAATGATAGTGTCTGTGTCATCAGAGCCTGTGGCCACCTTGCAAGGGGATGAGTGGAAAGATGGCCAGAGAGTGGGAAGTGTGAGATTGAGAGTATGGAAGGGCTGGGGTTCTTGGCCGTGATGAGGCCTAGGGGATGACAAGGGCATGAGATTCAGGCAGAGAGAGGAGAAGGTCATGGAGGAGAGGAGTTACAGGATCTGAGAGTCCAGGGAGCAAGGGCATCTTCTCTGCTGTATAGGTGTCTGTTGCTGCCATAAAAATTACCACAAACCAAGTGGCTTTAAACAGCACCTAATTATCATGTCACAGTCATGTGGGTTGCAAGTCCACACAGTCTCATGGGGCTAAGATCAATGTACGGGAAGGCCTGCATTCCTTCCTGGAGACTGGGGAAGAATCCACTTCCAAGCTCATTCAAGTTCTTGTCTGAATTCACTTCCTTGCAGATAGAACAGAGATTTCCACTTCCTTGTTAAGAGCCACCCTTAGCTCCTAGAGTTTTCTCTCAGGTACTCACACATGGCGCCTAAGGCACATCCAGTCCTCCTGCTTGGAACATCTGACCTCCTCTCTCCAGCTTCTCCTCTGTTTCCTCTTCTGCAGAATCTGACTCCAGCCAGGGCAGTTTCTCTGCTTTTAATGGCTCATGTGATTTGATTGGGCCCACGCAGATAGTCCAGGATACTCTCCCTATTTTAAGGTCCTTAATCTTCATTACATGATTAATGTCCCTTTTGCCATGCAATGCAACCTATTCACATGTTCCAACGATTAAGCCTGGACATCTTTGGGGACCATTACTCAGCCCACCACATCTGCGTATGTTGAAGTCACCAAGAGTCAAGGAGACGCACTGCTGGAGAGGGTGACAGTGAACCAGGAGCTACAAGGGTCAGGATTAAGAGGAATGGCTTGGGGCACAAAGGGAATGGCTACAACATGGGGAATGGGGCCCTAATCTGCTGACAGCTTAGGGGTTTAGGGAGGAGGGAGGGAGAAAGGTGTGAGAACCACAGTGAGGAGCAAGGACCCCACCTCACCTCTGAACCCAGGGGTACAAGTCCCTGGGAAAACTCCCCCATGTGGGAGGACTTTGGAGGGGGTCGTGTCCTCAGGGAGACCAGGTTGCTGCTGTAGCTGTGAGGTGCAGGAACATCCTGAGAGAGGGTGTGGAGGTTTTGCTAATCTTTTTGCTGGGGGAGGGTCTTGCCTCAGTGTTGACTATTGGCTGATCAGGAGGGTGGTTGCTAAAGGCTGCTGTGGCAACTTCTTTAGATATGACAATAAAGTTTGTGGCATGGATTGTAAATCGGGAATCAGTACTTAAGTAAGGTCAATATGAGTTTTCAAGTCAGGTGGACCTGAATATGAACCCTCCAGGCCCTTCCACCAGCTAGCTATAGAGCCCTGGGCACATCTGGCCCACAGTTGGCCCTGACAGACACTTGCCCAGTGAGTGAGTGCTGAATGAGCCCATACGAGTCAGTTTCCTCATCTGCAAACTAGTGATGTAATTCCTGCCTTGCCAATTCAGAAGAATAAGTGAGAAGAAACCCAGTGCCAAGAAAAACAGACACAAGACCTGTGGAAGGCTGGGCACCAGTGCTCTAAAGCAAGCTCTGCCTAAACTGTCAGGATCATTTTTCACATCAGAAACAGGAATTGGTCTGGATTCTGTCTGGGACCAGGCTGAGAGGGAGGTGGAGGCAGCAGAGCAGGGCAGGGGTGGGGCCTATGCAGCACCAGGTGCTGAAGCAAAGCCAAGGCCTGGAGGGAGCGAACTCTTGGTGTCTTCTAGGCAACTCAGACTGCTCCCTGCCTCAGCTACCATGGTCCTTTCTCTTCCAGGATCTCTTGGTGCTGTTGTCTTCACCTCCTCCTGCCCTCCTGGTCCCTAGCTCTCCAGGACTCACAAAGATGCTGCTCTGAAAACCCCAAGGCAAGCGTGGAAGAGTAGAACAGCTCCAGGGACAGTGGGAAGATGAGGTCACCCCAGCATGTTGACGGACACCAAGGGTGGGGGTGGAGGACTTGAAGGGGATCAGCACAGGAGTCAGGGGAAATCCTCTAAATCCCACCCTGCACCACCCTCACCCCTGCAGCTCCTTGCCTAGTTCCAGCTCTGAGCTCTCAGCTCCTTCCCAACCACACCCCAGCTCAGACCTCAGGGCTCTCTCTCCCCACCCCCTCCAGAGCAGCACAGTCCACAGAGCCCTTGAACAGAAATTCCCCCTCATCTAACAGTTAATTATTTCTTAGCGGAGAGGGACAGCCGGTCCTCTCTTTCCAGTGACCCCATATCCTTGTTCAAGGTATCCAGTTATACTCCCTGAGCCAGGGATCTCTATTTGCCCCCCAGAGGCCTATGCCCAAGACAAGGGGCTCCCTGGGCTTCTCAGTACAGGAGGCCTTAAGCTAATGGGCTAGAAAAAGGGAAAGGGAGGTAGAATTCCTCATTTACAGCCAGACCCTGCAATACAGGTTCCAAGGGCCTCAGCCCCCTGCCCTGGCTGATGCTCCCTCCACCACTCCCCCTCACCAGGGCCATGAGCCCCCAACACAGCTGAGCTGGCCCAAGCTGAGGAGTTGCTGGAGCTGGACCAGGCCCTGCTGGAAGGGCAGGAGGGGGTCAGGGGCCCAGGCCCTGGTGCTCAAGGTCTAGAATTTGAAGGAATAGATGAGGAGGCACCAAGAAAGCCTGGGTGGAGACACTCAAGCTTCCCACCAGTGCCCACAGCACCCTCCATCCCTGGAAATACTGCGCACCATCCACCAGGAGCCCCAGGATCAGAAACATCCCAGCCTCTCTCAGGCCAGATAAAGCAGAAGAGACCCCAACAAAGGGCCGGAAATAGGCAGGTAGTTGGGGAGCCAGGGCTCTGCAGTCCGTCCCCCTTTGACCTCACAGCAGGGCATCCAGGCCTTACAGGAATTTACCCTGGACCATGCCCTAAAATAATCTTACCCCAAATACAATAAAGGGAGAGAGCACCCACACATAATGCAGATGCACTTGTGTTTCATGTTTAGTTACATTAAAAATTCTGACGATCAGGAATGATGGTTCGGGAGTGGTGCTGATGCAGAAGAGGAAAGCCAGGGGGTGGTGGAGGCTGTCAGGTGTGGGGGCAGCAGGGTCTCCTTCACCCACACCCTGCTGTCCTCTCCTGAAGGGCAGATGGTCACATTCCAGAATGAGCGAGTCTCCTACTGCATCTGTTCAACTGAGAAGGAGACATGGCACAGTGAGAATAAGGCATGAAAGGACAAAGCAAGGCAGGAACACACAGCACACATGCAGATGCTGGTGTACTGCCTGGGTTCAGAGGATGGACTTGGGCGTGGTGGAAGAGATGTAATATGAGAAAAGGCACAGACCCCACATAGAGGGCAGCAAAACGTCCCAACACAGCATCAACGGCCAGGGGGCATGAAGCAGTCAATTGTTCATTATGCGTTAAGTGCCCATGACCTACATGATGGGATTGAAGACACAGTAAGGAATAGGGAGGAACTAAGGGTTTCATGAAATCAGCACTCACTGTGGAGGAGACGTCTGTCTCAGCAGGTAGCTCCTAACACTGAACTTAAAGTGATGCTGCCCATCACTGAGGATCCTGGCACAATTCTCATCCGACACAAGCCCTGTTCCAAACCAGCCTGCTCTAGTCACCTGGAAGGAGACAGAGGTTAGGACTAGAAGACCCCAAAGAGGGAAGACAGCCAGAGGGAGGAATGAAGAAGTGAAGTGTGAAAAGATACAGAAAATAAGTGGGTGGGAGAGTGGGTGTCCCTCTGTGTATGGAGCTTACCTGATTCACGTAGGTCTCAGAATCTTCAGGCATGTCACAGGTAAAGGCAGTGTTCACCTGCTCCATGTCCATGCCTGGGCAAAATAGGGTTGGTAGCCAAAGAATTGGCCTTTAAAAATCTTTTGGGGTCATTCTCAGACAAGTACAGAAGAGCAAAAACTGTTAGTCACCTGAGGTGCATTCTCCTTCTCAGGTTCAGAAATGAACTACATGTAAAAGGAACCAAAGGCTGTAATTCTCATGGCACCCAGAAAACTGGACTAGGGACCTGGAGAGTCATGTGCCTGTCATTGCTCCACCACTCACGAGCTGTGTGACTTCAGGAGAAGCTCTCTACTCATAGGGCCTCTGATTCATCTGTGAATCATGGACAAATGCCTCCATTCTAGCAACCTTACTGAAATGCAGGGAGGACCAAGTGATCAATGCGGAGGAAAAAAGCAAAGTGATGACATTTACTCCTAGACAAGACTCTTTAGGAAAATGCACTTTAAAAGGAGGAGAAAACATAGTACCTGCCATCCCCTGCCAAAAAGCCTCTTTGGTTTAGTAATTATGATTGTTCATCATCTTTCTATAAAATTAGGGCAAAACTAGCTCACTCAATGTCTCAAATAAATTAAACACAGTTTGTGATTCTATGTCCACAACTTTTGCACTGTGTGAAACTGAAAAGAAATGGGAACACATCCATGTTTGTGTGGTGGCCAGGAGACCCACAAAGGCTTGGAAATGACCCTGTATCATCTATTTTCCATTGACTCACTCTATGTTTTGGAATCCCAGGTAATTCATATTCTTAAAAAGTCTCATGTTCATACATAGGACAGAGTAGAAAAGGTAATATTTCTGTTTTAATTTGCTAGGGCTACCATAACAAAGTACCACATGCTGGGTGAGTAAAATAATAAATATGTATTGTCTCACAGTTCTGGAGGCTACAGGTGCAGGTCAAGGTGCTGCAGGGTTGCTTTTTCCTGAGGCCTCTCTCCTTGGCTTGTAGATGGCCACTTCTGTCTTCTCAACATAGGACTCCAACATATGAATTTCGGTTGGGGAGGGACACAATTCGTCTCATAACAGCGTGGATCATCCTTGGTAGTGGATATTCTAAAAAATAAAAGAGAGTATATCCCTTTGGCTTGGTGCTTTCTCTTGGTTTTCTCAATTTTTGGTCTTGCAATAAGAACAAAAAAGAACAAGAACCAACGTTTAGTTTTTCCCAGAAGGTGAACCCTCCCTACATCTGGGTAACCCCAGACCCCAAGAAGAGGTGCTATGCAGTTCTCCAGAGTCTTACTTTCTCCAGGAATTCTGTTTCTGCCTTTCTAACTGGGGAGAAGATTCTCTCAGGAGAGCCACTTCTTCTGATGCTGTATGGGCTTCATTCTGCTTGAACTTACAAAGTGGATCTTAATAAAAAGGAAATATTTGCCAATTTTTATCATGGTCATATTTTTGTACTTTTTAAAATGTCCCATATTGTGTTGAGTTTATTTTAAAAATATTTTTTAAAGGTAATACATAACATTTTATATGTTTATGGGGCACATGTGATCATTTGATACATACACAGAATGTGGAATAATCAAGTCAGGGTGTTTAGGGAATCCATCACCTCAAGCATGTATCATTTCCTTGTGTTGGGAACATTTAAAATCCACTCTTCTAGCTGTTTTAAATATACATAATTGTTAGCTTTAGTTGGCCTGCTGTGCTATAGAACATTAGAACTTTTTTTTTTATATAACTGTACATTTGTACCCATTAATCTACCTCTCTACATCTTCCCACCCCTACATTCTTCCCAACCTCTGGTAATTTTCATTCTACTCTCAACCTCCATGAGATTAACGTCTTTAGCTCACACATGTGAGTGACAACATGTGATATTTGTGTTTCCTTGCCTGGCTCATTTCACCTAACATGACCTCTGGTTCCATCCATGTTGCTGCAACTGACAGGATTTCACTCTTTTTTTATGGCTGAATTGCATTCCATTGTGTATATACTACAGTTACTTTATTCATTCACCCATTGATAAATTCACCATTGATTTCACATCTTTGCTATTGTGAATAGTGCTTCAATAAACATGGGTGTGCAGGTACTCTTTTGATATATTGACTTCATTTCCTTTGGATAAATACTCAGAAGTAGAATTGTTGCATCAGATAGTAGTTCTATTAATAGTTTCAGTTTTTTTGAGAGATCACTCTACTGTTTCCCATAATGGCTGCACTAATTTACATGACCACCAACAGTGTATAACATTCCCCTTTCTCCACATGCTCACCAACATCTATTATTTTTTATTTTTTAATAATAGCCATCTTAACTAGGGTTAGGGTAAGATATATCTCATTGTAGTTTGATTTTCATTTTCCTGGTATTTAGTGATGTTGGGTGTTTTTCACACACCTGCTGGCCACTTGTATGCCTCCTCTTGGGGAATGTCTATTCAGATCCTTTGTCCACTTTTTAATTGGATTATTTGTATTTTTTACTGCCAAGTTTTTGAGTTCCTTGTATATTCTAGATATTAGTCTAGAATATACTAATTGGATGAATATACTGGTTGGTTGAATACTTAGTAAATATTTTCACGATTCAACAGGTTATTGCTTCATTCTGTTGGATGTTTCCTTTGCTGTGCAGAAGCTTTTTAGCTTAATATAGTCTCATTTGTCTATTTTTACTTTTTTTGCCTGTGCTTTAGAGGTCTTAGCCATAAAATCTTTGCCTAGACTAATGTTTCCCATAAGTTTTCTTCTAGTAGTTTTACAGTATTGGGTCTTACGTTTAAGTCTACAATCCCTTTTGAGTTGATTTTTTGTATATGGTGAGAGACAGGGGTCTAGTTACATTCTTCTGCATCTGGTAGCATTTTCCCAGCACCATTTATTTAAGAGACTGTTCTTTCCCCAGTGTATATTCTTGGTTCCTTTGTCAGAGGAACTCCTTTGAGAGTTCTCATTAAGAAGCAATGTTTAGTTTCACCAAATGCTTTTTCTGCATCTATTGAGATGATAATATGGTTTATGTCCTTCATTCTGTTGATGCGGTATATGACATATTTTGATTCACATATGTCAAACAATCCTTGCATCCTGGGTATAAAACTCACGTGATTATGGTGTATTGTTTTGATCTGTTGTTGGATTTTGTTGCTAATATTTTCAATTACTATTTTTTATTACTAACGTTTAAATTTTTATTGTAAGCATTTTAAACTTGTAAAATTTACATATACTGAAATGATCAGATCTGTATCAAATTCATCAATGAATTTTGACAAATACAGCCATAGCACCCATGCCACTATGAAGATACACGAAGTTCTCTATTTTTCTGCCTTCAAATTAGCCCCCTTTCCCCAGCAGCCATTGATCTGATGACTATCATGATAGAGTAGCTCTTCCTGTTTCAAAACTTCATACGTATCCATTCATCCCATATGGCCTCCCTTGTGCCTAGCTTTTTGCACTTGGTGTAATATCTATGTGGTCTGCCCAGCTTGTTGCATGTATCAGTAATTCATTCATTTTTAATGCTGGTAGTATTGCATTGTATCACTGAGTCACAATTTTTTTGTACATTTTGGGGGTATTCACGGTTTTTTATTGTTACAAATGAACTATGGACATTATTGTACAGGGATTCTTGGACATAATCTTTATTTCACTTGAGTAAATACCTAGGAGTGGAAATGCTAGCCATAGAGTACTAGCTTGTTTAACTTTATTAGATGATATAAAAGTGATTTTCAGAGTGGCTGTTTTATATTCTTATAGGCAGTGGATGAGACTGTTTCACATCCTTGACAACATTTATATTTATTAATCACTTAAATTTCAGCCATTCTAATAAGTGCTTAGTGGTTTCTCGCTGTGGTTTTACTTTGCATTTTTCCCTGATGACTATTGGCCATTCATGTGTCTTTTTTGTAATGTTTCAGAAGATTTCTCTAAAGATTGTGGAAGGAGCTAAATAAACATGATTTCTCTTTCTCTAAGTGCTAGACCTAAAGTGGAATGTTCAGAATCCATCCACGCTTCCCAGTCTGGCCTACTCAATCCCATATTTGCCCCCTAAAGTCCCCACTCCTTCATCCCTCTTTTATATTTTATCCTCTTCATTCTGGCTCAAGCTCACACTCCTCCAGGAAGTCTGTTACTGTGAAGGTCACTGACATGCTCAGTATTGTCATCTCTCCATCTGTCTGTACCTCTGTGCAGCTTTCCTCACACTCAATAACTCTTTTCTTATTTTGCTCAGTTCCTGTGGATTCACTTCACAAACATTAATTCAAAGTAGTTCCAGCTGGAAGAAAGAATAGAAAATTATAAAAAATCTTTGTGAAGGCACCACCCAGGTCTGTCAATTGGCGACATTTTAATATTATTGGCTATATGTAGTATACATAGAAAAATAATAGAAATATATGTAGATAGCCTTGATTTTTCACAGCTCTGATATGCACATGTTTCAGTCAGTACTGTACTGAGCAAATCAAGAATTGCAAGAGGATGTGTGACTTGAATTTAGTGTATGCCTTTATATTTTTACTAAGTTTTAGGAAATCTCTTTGTTTGAAGTCTTTTAGACTTGTTTTTTTAGAACAGGTCTCCTCACTCTGTCACCCAGGCTTGAGTGCAGTGGCACAAACACAGCTCACTGTACCTCAACCTCCCAGGCTCAAGCGATACACCTACCTCAGCCACCCAAGTAGCTGGGGGTATAGCTATGCTCCACCATGCCGGGCTAATTTTTGTATTTCTTGGAGAGAGGGTTTTTGCCATGTTTCCCAGGCTGGTCTTGAACTCCTGAACTCAAGCGATCCACCCACCATGACCTCCCAAAGTGCTAGGATTACAAGTGTACACCACCTTGCCTGGCTTTGCTTTTAGACTTCTTATAAATTGTTTCTGGCTAATTTTATCATTCATTTGCTTGCTTTTTCAGTTAACATGTTCTATGACATGAATCTATGTTCATACAAATAGTTCATTTGCTTTCATTGGTGGATAGTATTCCATGGGAGGAATATACTACAATTCTTCTCTTTCCCTCTTCATTGACCTTTAGATTTTCTCTATTGTAGACCTCACTGCAATGAACATCCTGGGACATTGCCTCCTGCTCTCAGAGATATGTGAGTTTCCCTAGAATATGCATATAGGAGTGGGGTCACTACAGCTTTTCCATATGATGTTACATGATGCAAAATTGTTCTCTGAAAGAAATAATCCAAATGCCTATCAAGAGGGGGCTGATTAAAAAGCACCGCACTCAAAAGAAGCAATCTCTATTTTTTTTTAAAATATTGCATATATATACAATGGTGTATCATGAAAATTTCAAACAAAGATGTAGCTAAGCTCTTGGTATTTCTTCATGTGATGGTCTTTGTGATACAATGTGAAGGGAAAAGGCAAGGTGCAGGAAAGCATATGTAGTTTGCTAAAATTTGTGTGAAATGGGAGAAAGATTATATACATATACATTTAGATTGACTTGCATATGCATAAAATGCCTTTGAAAGAATAAGCAAGAAACTGATATAAATAGCTGCCTGTCAAGATGGGGTAGCATAAGAGAGAGACTTTTAACTTTTTGAGTTTTGAGCCAAGTCAAAACATAAAATAAAAGATAATTCCAAGGCAGACAAAACAAACAAAATCAAATCCTTCAAAATAAAAAACTTAAAAAAAGAGCCTAACAGAATTAATTCTCTTACCTTCCTTAATTAAAAAAAAAACTGTCTAAAAATTATATCACTTCTCAAACAAGGATGTTTCCTGTCACTTTAATTCAGTATGTTGTTTTCTTTTTCATTGCACTATCTTTCTTTATGTGTGTGTCTGTCTTTCATTCATTAAAAGTCAAAATGAGAGCATGGTTACTTAACAAATGCAACCGGTTTGGTGAAGGAAATTTTGACCAAATCCTGATGTAAATGGTGAAGCCCAATCTACAAGGAATTCTACGGGGTCCAATGTACCAATTGTGGCTTCAGCAGGCTCAGAACTTCCTCTACTGTCCATGTGAGCTCAAGTATGTGATATTTAGAAAAGAGAACACTTGGTAATTCTCCTGGAAAACACACGATTGAATCCATTTGCTGAATTTGGAAGGTTCTCATTATGAGCCCATTCTAAGTATGTGTCATATGAGGTCACCCTGTATTTGGATCAGAAGGTATAGTCAGAGCTCACATCCCAGGCCCAAACAGCCCAGGACAGCAGAGCAAGACTCGTAGGTCAGTTTCATAAGGGGTGGGAAGGATTGGGGGTGTGGGGGCCACTTGTGAAGTAGTGGGAACCCCAGATGCTGTGTGAAGCTCAGCCTCTGGATTGCCCTGTAACCCCACATTTGATTCCTTCCTGGGTGTCTGCCATTCCCGGGATCCCAAGGAAATCAAATGCTGCAGACTTGGGTGGGGTGCTCTCCAAGATGGCCCATGCATGGTCTAGTTTATCCTATACCTTTGCCTGTCAGCCCTCTTCTGATATTAGAAATCAATATGGATTGCCTTAGGGTGGTGATTCTCAAAGTGTGTTCCTGGGACAAGTAGCATTGGCATCACCTGAGGACTTGTTAGAAATGCAATTTTCAGGCCCTGCCTCAGACCTACTGAATCAGAAACTGCATTTTAACGGGCCCCCAGCAGAATTCTGCATTTCAAATCAGGCCTCTCTCTCTCTGTCTCAAGACTCAATATTGAGCAGCTGTGACTTCTGCATAGTCATATATGGGACACACTTCCTTGCCAGGAAGCACCTGGCTCCTCAGTCAGCTTAGTCTGAGTCCTGGCCTGGCCTAGGAGAGAAAAATTCATGTCCTGGGTTCTGAGCAATGCTCTCCTGTCCTGGATGCCTGTCAGACTCCTATTTATACCTCAAAACGCAGCTCAAATGTTGTGTCTTATGAAGCTTCTGTGACTCCTTGGTCAGAGCAGATGGTCTACATGTGCATCCGCAAAGCAAGTTGCATATTCTGCCAACCATTTGTGTAAGAATTTCCTTACTGGCAACAGAGTGAGACTCTGTCTAAAAAAATAAATGAATAAATAAATAAATAAATAAATAAATAAATAAATAAAGAGTTTCCTTACTGATCTCTGCCTGAGCAAGACGGCTTAACCTTGAAGGCAAGGGGGGTTTGGTTCCTCTTACCTCAGCCCCAGCTCCTTTAACACAATGCCTAGCACATGGTAGGTGTTTGATAAATGTTTACCAAATGAAGGGATTTCCTGCAATGACCTAGGAGACAAGAAGGTGGAATAAAAGCTCACAAGCCAAAAGTGGGTGGGAAAAGGTCTTCCAAATCCCAGTGCTGTGTGAGCACAGGGCCCACTGATGTTCACTTTTAGAAGCTTCCCATCTATCTTGTTCTCTTCTCACCAGAAACATCTATGCTTCCCCACCAAGGTCCACCTAATCGCACTTTACCTTTCAGGACCACCTTTCAAATTAGCTGGGTACAAACTCCACAGCAACTTCCTGCCTTAGCTCCAAATACTCAGCTGCAGGCCTGGTGTGGGGCTTCATGCTAATCCTAGCACTTTGGGAGGCCGGGGCAGCAGATCACTTGAGCCCAGGCCTTAGAGACCAGCCTGGGCAACATGGCACAACCCCATCTCTACAAAAAACACAAAACATTAGCTGGGGCTTGTGGCGTTCACCTCTAGTGACAGCTATTCAGGAGTCTGAGGTGGGAGGATCTCTGGGGCCGAGGAGTTCGAGGCTGCAGTAAGCCGTGATCATGCCACTGCATTCTAGCCTGGATGACAGAGTAAGACCCCATGTCTAACAAACAAAAACTACAACTCTGAGGCTAATTTGGTGGGAGTTAAGAGCTTATCCTACTGCGGTGTCACTATGAGTGATATTGGGTGGCTTTAAGATTAGGGGGTGTTTACATTTCTAAAAAGAAAATTGCTCCACAAAGAATGTAAAGTTTTGGTGTGTGCAGGGGTGGGGTCTTCAGGAGAAAAAAGGCAATAGCTCCAGTAATACTCAGTAGCTGACTGTCCTGCCCACCTCTCACCCAGAGCCTAGGCAGGGGCTGGATTCTCACCTCAGCCCCTCCTCAGCGTACCCTGGATGTGGATGGTCCCTCAGTGTGAACCCACCTGGGCTCTGACTGTGGCTGCTCTTCCCACTGTTATGGAGCCTTAGTGGGTGTGGCGCATGCAGGGGGCCTGCTCAGGAGACCAAGTGCCCTTTAAGTCTCAAGACCTACATTTTTGAAGCACCCATGTCAGATGTTCAGGATGGAAGGGACTCAGATGCTCAAATCATAATAAAAGAAAGAATCCATCCCACTCTCTCAGGTGTGGTGGAATTAAAATTAAATGACAATCAGTAATCTAAAATGATCATATTCTCAGTGTTGACTTTATCATTCAGCCGACGCCTATAACCCAGGGATGGATGAGGCATTGTGGAGGAAGAGTTTATTTCTTCTTTCTGAAGGCTCCATCAGCTGGAGTTTTTGCCCTATGACATGGAGAGGAGACTTTGCTTCAAGCTAAGTTAGGACTGAGCACAGTGGCTCACCCATGTTATCCTAGAACACTGGGGAGGCTAAGGCAGGAGGATCACTTGAGCCCAGGAGTTCAAGACCAGCCTGGGAAGCAGTGAGATGTATTCTGTTCAATTTTTTTTTTTAAATTAGATGGTCATTTTGGGGCTTTCCTGTAGTCTTGGCTACTCTGGAGACTGAGGCAGCAGGATCACTTGAACCCAGGAGCTCAAGGCGGCAGTGAACTATGATCAACTCACTGCACTACAACCTGGGTGAGAGAGCAAGTCCCTATCTCTAAAAAAAGAGAAAGTGACCTGAGTTGGGACAGGACATTTGGACTTTTTCATTAAAATTGTATTTCAAATGTTGTAAAACTTCATAATCAGCATTTTACCCTTTTAGAAAGTAGAATCTGCTCAATTACAGAAAATATAAAAAATGTAGTGAAGCAGAAAGATGGAAAACACCTGTGTCCCCACTGGGAGGATCCGGATGAACCTCTGCCTGGCAGAGCCTCAGAGACGTCAGTGAAAAGGGGCCCTGGAGCTGTGCTTTGCAGCTGCCCCCTGAGTTTCCACCCCTGGTTTCTGTGCATGTGGTGTCTGTGCAGGATGACTTAGTGCAGTCACACTGTATGAGTTATTTTGAATCTTGCTTTTCAAATTTTATTATTATCAATAAGCAACTTTATATGTTATCATAAACTCTTCTTAAACAGTACTTTTCCTGGCTGTATACTATTTCCAAAAAATGACCCAGCTACTCTTCTTTTACAAGTTCTTCTTCCTTATTGTAAATAATATCTGATTAATATCCTTATACCTAAAGATTCTTCTATATTTTGCATTTCATTGTAGAATTATAGATTTCTCAAATATAAATTATTTGGTCAAACTGCATGAACTTTTTTTGCTTTGTTTTTGAGATGGAGTCTCACTCTGTCACTGAGGCTGGAGTGCAGTGGCACAATCTCGGTTCACTGCAACCTCCACCTCCCAGGGTCAAGTCATTCTTGTGTCTCAGCCTCCCGAGTAGCTAGGATTACTGGCGTGCACCACCACACCTGGCTAATTTTTTTATTTTTAGAAAAGACGGGGTTTTACCATGTTGGTCAGGCTGGTCTCGAACTCCTGACCTCAGGTGATCCACCCGCCTCGGACACACATGTTATAAAATTGCTTATCAAAAGCAGCATACCAATTATATTCACCCATCATTCACCTCTTATTTGTTAAGCCCCTCCTCTGTACTGGTATGTTCTAGATGCTAGGGATACAAGTGGTGGCTGGACAAGGTCCTGGCCTCAAATAATATGTTTTAGTGGTACAGACAACAACTTTCAAATTTATTCTAATATCAGTGATAATTGTTATGGAGAAAATATACTCGGGTTAGAAGATTGGTGGTGGTGAGGATGGCAGGAGATATATTTTGTTGGATAAGAGGTTCCTGAGAACTTGACTAAGGGACATTTGAGCAGAGAACTGAATGGCATGAGGAGTGAGCCATGTGGATCCCTAGGGAGCAAGTGCATGTGGGAGTACCAGCAGGGGCCGGTGGCAGAGACAGGATTGAGCAGTGACAAGAGACTGGTGCGAGTGCAGATGAGTGATCTGGGCTGAGAGTGGTGAGATGAGGCCAGAATGGCCAGAGGGGCCCCGTGTTGAGGGGCTAATAGGAAATGGAGAGAGGAAGGGAAGAGGCTGGAGTGTCTCTGGGATGTGGTGGTGAGGATGGGCTCTAATTCCCATTCGAAAGCTTCACTCTGCCTGTTGTGTGGGTGATGGACAGCTGCATGAGATGCAGCAGGCAGCCCAGCTGGAAGGCCCGTCGGATTTACTATCCTAGAGAGAATGGCTCTGGGGAGGAGGCAGTAGACGAGTGTGAAGTGATTGGTTTTGGGGTTAATACATTTTTCAGATGGTCTCAGCAGTTATTTAATAGAGAACCATTCATTTATTTCCACAGTTGATTCCAGATGGCTTACTACAACAAACCAAATAATAAATATACATGCATTATTTAAAAACCAACAAGGCCTGGCGCAGTGGCTCATGCCTGTAATCCCAGCACTTTGGGAGGCCGAGGCGGGCAGATCACGAGGTCAGGAGATTGAGACCATCCTGGCCAACACAGTGAAACCCCATCTCTACTAAAAATACAGAAATTAGCCAAGCGTGGTGGCGGGCCCCTGTAATCCCAGCTACTGGGGAGGCTGAGGCAGGAGAATCGCTTGAACCTGAGAGGCGGAGGTTGCAGTGAGCCGAGATCGTGCCACTGCACTCCAGCCTGGGTGACAGAATGAGACTCCTTCTCAAAAACAACAACAACAACAAAAAAAACAGCTGGGAAAATATAGACTTAAAATATTAAGGCTGGGGTAAAACTAGAACATTACTCAGCAAGAAGGAACATCTGAAACATTTGCAGAAATGGAGTTGACTGTTTCCCTAGCCATAGATTTGTTGGCTCACAATTGTGTTGCATCAGGGAGCCACAGAGGGGGGTGACAGTGCAGGTCACTTGGCCCTTGTTTCCTGTTTCAGGAATATTTTCCTGTTTTACACTTAAAGTCAAAGCAAATTTATGTAACTGTAATTTGTTCAAAAATGAAGTCAACAGCTAAAAAGTCAGAAAGTAAATGTACAAACCCCAGGGGTCTAAGGACAGTCTATATTTCTCCCCCAAAATGTCCTCACCCTGCACTATTGAATGGAGACAGTCCTTTCCAGGCGCCCTAAGATGCAGGGGCGACTGGGCTGCAGCCCTATCTACAGGTGTCCTTCTTTATACCTGCAGTTTCCTTTACACCTGACAGCCAACTTCACTGACCTCACCTGAGCTAGGAATTTGTTTTTTTGGTATTGGTTCTATTTGAGTCATTGTGCAGGCTTAAAACTGTGACATGGAAGTTTTGCTATAATGGTTTTTCTTTGATGGAATTTGACACGCACAGTGGCTCTGGCTTCCCTGTCACTCCCAGGAGAGAACGGAGTGTCCTGCACTTTTTTTTCAAGATCCCTGTGTAAGAGTGATCAAGAGACTTGGAGTCAGGGGCTCCTCCAATCTCACCCTCCTCTCTGATGCTTTCCAGCGTGGGGCCCTTGGCTCTCTGCACATCTGATTAATACAATTGTCTCAGCTCCTGAAATAAAAGCACAGGTGCACATAACACTGACTCCTGCGTGCAGTGCCAAGGTGGGGAGGTTTCCTGGATGCCAGGTTTAGCACTTTGACTCTCATTCACGCACACACACACACACATACACACACACTCTCTCTCATATACAGATACACACGCTAACTGATACACACAGGCACACACAGTCGCACACACATTCACACACATATTTAGACACACTCTCACACACAGATTCACACACACGGGCACACACACACAGGCACACACACACACACATGCAGCCTGAGTGAGCGTTGTGGGACAGGCTGACTTCAGGGGTGGAGTAACAGGAGTCTCTCAGTTCCTTCTCAGTGGACTTTGTCTCTTTTTCCTGGAGGTGGAGGAGTCTGTACTCCATGAGGGGAAGTCCTCTGAAGAAGGGGGGAGATACTCAGGAGCGGGGTCCAGAGATGGACAGGGATGGAGAAGTGGAGACAAAGCGGAGGGGGCGGGGCAAGAAGGGAGCCCACGAGGAATGGGGAGAGGGAGGACCTTCTAGAGGTCAGAAATATCACACGCAGAATTTGGTTCTTTGTTTTTGTGTTTTATTAAGATGGATTTAGTAAACCAGCCGAAGTGCAAGATATGGAGTCTACATTGCAAAGGACACGTCTTAGTCTCCTGCTAGTTTGAACTCATCAGTAGTAGCTAGGAGAAGAGTGCCAGAAGCCTTGCGTGGGGCGCGCAACGCCCCTTTGCAGCGACCCCATTCTCTGCATCCCACGGACCTCCCCACCAGGGACCATGTTGGTCCCCTCCCACCCAACAGGAAGGAAAGGAAGAAGTCTGAAGGCTTTGGATCCTCCCTAGCGCACTTTTTCTCGCCATTTATTCCCAGAGTGTCCTTGCCTCCGCTCCGCTATCCCAACCCCACTATAACAAAGCACATCCTGCGCGCTGGGGCCAGAAATCCTCCTTTGGCCTCTGACTCACTGGTGCCATTTCACTGTGTCCTGTCCTTCCGGCCATTGTCACTGGGTGAAGCCCCAGAGAGCTTGAGCTTGGAGCCCAAGAGAGCTGGATTCTTAGAGCGTAGCTGTCCGCACAAACATTCTTTTTTTTTTTGGTCTTTATTATTATTATTATTATTATTATTATTATTATACTTTAAGTTTTAGGGTACATGTGCACAATGTGCAGGTTAGTTACATATGTATACAGGTGCCATGATGGTGTGCTGCATCCATTAACTCGTCATCTAGCATTAGGTATATCTCCTAATGCTATCCCTCCCCTCTCCCCCCACCCCACAACAGGCCCCAGAGTGTGATGTTCCCCTTCCTGTGTCCATGTGTTCTCATTGTTCAGTTCCCATCTATGAGTGAGAACATGTGGTGTTTGGTTTTTTGTCCTTGCGATAGTTTACTGAGAATGATGATTTCCAATTTCATCCATGTTCCTACAAAGGACGTGAACTCATCATTTTTTATGGCTGCATAGTATTCCATGGTGTATATGTGCCACATTTTCTTAATCCAGTCTATCATTGTTGGACATTTGGGTTGGTTTCAAGTCTTTGCTATTGTGAATAGTGCCGCAATAAACATACGTGTGCATGTGTCTTTATAGCAGCATGATTTATAGTCCTTTGGGTATATACCCAGTAATGGGATGGCTGGGTCAAATGGTATTTCTAGTCCTAGATCCCTGAGGAATCGCCACATTGACTTCCACAAGGGTTGAGCTAGTTTACAGTCCCACCAACAGTGTAAAAGTGTTCCTATTTCTCCACATCCTCTCCAGCACCTGTTGTTTCCTGACTTTTTAATGATTGCCATTCTAACTGGTGTGAGATGGTATCTCATTGTGGTTTTGATTTGCATTTCTCTGATGGCCAGTGATGATGAGCATTTTTTCATGTGTCTTTTGGCTGCATAAATGTCTTCTTTTGAGAAGCGTCTGTTCATATCCTTTGCCCACTTTTTGATGGGGTTGTTTGTTTTTTTCTTGTACATTTGTTGGAGTTCATTGTAGATTCTGGATATTAGCCCTTTGTCAGATGAGTAGATTGCAAAAATTTTCTCCCATGTTGTAGGTTGCCTGTTCACCCTGATGGTAGTTTCTTTTGCTGTGCAGAAGCTCTTTAGTTTAATTAGATCCCATTTGTCAATTTTGGCTTTTGTTGCCATTGCTTTTGGTGTTTTAGACATGAAGTCCTTGCCCATGCCTATGTCCTGAATGGTAATGCCTAGGTTTTCTTCTAGGGTTTTTATGGTTTTAGGTCTGACGTTTAAGTCTTTAATCCATCTTGAATTAATTTTTGTATAACATGTAAGGAAGGGATCCAGTTTCAGCTTTCTACATAGGGATAGCCAGTTTTCCCAGCACCATTTATTAAATAGGGAATCCTTTCCCCATTGCTTGTTTTTCTCAGGTTTGTCAAAGATCAGATAGTTGTAGATATGTGGTGTTATTTCTGAGGGCTCTGTTCTGTTCCACTGATCTATATCTCTGTTTTGGTACCAGTACCATGCTCTTTTGGTTATTGTAGCCTTGTAGTATAGTTTGAAGTCAGGTAATGTGATGCCTCCAGCTTTGTTCTTTTGGCTTAGGATTGACTTGGTGATGCAGGCTCTTTTTTGGTTCCATATGAACTTTAAAGTAGTTTTTTCCAATTCTGTGAAGAAAGTCATTGGTAGCTTGATGGGGATGGCATTGAATCTATAAATTAGCTTGGGCAGTATGGCCATTTTCACGATATTGATTCTTCCTACCCATTAGCATGGAATGTTCTTCCACACAAATATTCTTGAGATTTCTTCAGATCTGAAAGTCAGCCTGAGTTTTTAGACTTGCTTCTGAGTTTTAGACTTTGGCCCTGGGAAAAAGGAAATCAGTACTCCAGGAACAAGATTTTCCTCGACTTTGTCTCAACCCAAAGACGCTATAGCAGCGCAGTTTTCAAACGTGCTTTGAAAATAAATGGGACAGTGTGTCCACACTGGATTTTGCCTTTCCCTTTTTATTACAGCCCGCCCCTTTTGTAAAATTGTTACACATCTCTCTACTGCACTAAAAACGGCTCTATCAAAGATACTTTGAGAAAGATTTAATGACATGAAAATATGAAGCCCCCTTAAAAGAGAGTTTCTGGAGTTGGGTTTTAATTAACACTTTGGTTTTTAAAATCCTGTAACTATTTGGGTGTGTGGCTTATCTTTATAATATTTTCAAACAAATATTTTTTCTTAACCACCACACAAATCCAAGTTTATTATTTTTATTTTTAAATTTTATTTATTTATTTCTGAGACAAGATCTCTTGCTGTCACCCAGGCTGGAGTGTAGTGGTGAGATCATAGCTCACTGCAGCCTCGAACTCCTGGGCTCAAGCTATCCTTCAGCTTCCAGAGCTGGGATTACAGGCCTGAGCCACCGCGCCTGGCCAAAATCCAAGTTTATTCTGTAATATAAAATTCCAACATTTCAGAGAAGGTGAAAGTCACAACGTTATCCCAGTCCCTGGGGTCCCTGTCAAAATTTTGGGGAATAATCCTCCATGTTTTCCCCTACTTAAAATATATATTATGTAAGTGGTATTACTGGTATTATAATTCCATATATCCTCGTCCTTTTAAAAATGGATAAAAGTAGGCTGGGCACAGATCTTCTCATAACAATACTTACAAATTTATCCTCCTCTTTTTAAGGACTGCGTGGAATTTTATCGCGTGGCTATTCTTTAGGGGACTATGGAAATGTTATTTCTTTATCTTCATTGTGGTAGTGGATATGTGGGTGTGTAAAACAGCCAAGCAGTACAACTCAATGAGCTGTGCATTTCAAATAGATACACTGATTGTGTGCAAAGTATGTCCCAATAATGGTTTAAAAATATTATTCTATTTGAGATTTGTACTTTGATTTTGTAAAACAAAACAAAACCCTTGTTCTTGCACCCACGAGATGCACCCTGGCACATCTGGAGGTAGAAGCTCATGTTCTCTGCAGCTTGACCTCGCAGGCTCTGAAATAAGAATAATAAGCCGTATATTTACAGATTCACACACAGAGAAAAAAAAGCTTTGGTAAAAATGTTCATAAATAACAAAACTAGATAAAGGGCAAAAATAAAATTAGAAATAATAAAACTACATCTTTCAGATATTATTCTCACCTTCACCTTTTCTCTCCCCTTTTCTCCCTCTCCCTTCCTTTCCTCGAAATGTCCCCCCATCCTTCCCTCCTTTCTCCATTCTCTGCATTTGATCCCCATGTATTCCAGCCTCGAGGCAAACACACGTCACCGCGTCCGCCTGGGGCAGGTCAGGGAAGGGACGCGAGGCAGCCGTGTCTCCGCATTCTGTGAGCGGCAGCGCCCTGGGCCTCGCTGATCTTGTGTCATTTCAGTGACCTTCGCTCTAGTCTTTGACGGGGCCACACTCGGGGTGTAAATTAGGATCCTCACTGAAGGCGCGCGACCCTGAGAGGCTTTTTCCTGGTCCCTTAGTTGTGAGTTTTCCTGCGGGCGGCGGAGCCCGTTTCCACCAGAACCGCCCAGTGGCCGGCGCTGCCTTCCTGGGGTGACGGAGCAGCTGGAAGCGTTTTCGGATCCTGGAATCAGTGGGCGGCCCGTGGGAGGGGCTGAGGCGCAGTTCCCTGCTCACCCGGCTCCGAATCCACCGCGGTGCTGTTTCAAGCGAGTCAGATTCCAGATCGCGCTCCAGCCCGGACTCGGAATTCCTGCCCCGCGGGTCTGCATTTTCACAGCGGCAGGTGTGAGTGCCCCGCAGCTGGAGACCAGAACCCTGAAGGCAGCTCGGCCCTCCCCAGCCCACAGCGCCGTTATTCCGTTTCTATATCAGTAAACACTTGTCATTTTCCGTAGACCAGGGCGGGGTGATGGGTGATCCCAGTCCTCGCAGTGAACTCCGGGCCGCAGTCCTGAGAACGCGCTCGGGCGCCCAGCGCAGCCGCGTCCTGAGTTACACACGCGACCACGCTGGGCCTTTTCTCTTTCTTTTCCGGACCCAGCAGTGGCGCCTACAGTCTGCGAGGAGAAAATCACCTTTGTGCTGGTAAGTCCAGGAATCTAAGGCGAGTGCTGAGGGAGAAAACGTAGTTGATGGCTCAGAGCAGAAGGGGCTGGAGGTAGGGTAGAGGGGGAGGGCTTTGGACAGAAAAGACCTGGGAGATTTGGTTGGTGAGGGGCAGCCAGGCCTAGACCCTGGGGAGCGACTCATCCAAAGTCCAAGATCATCACTGCCTCCCCTGCCCCAGAAAGGGAGGGATTGGCTTCGTGTCTTGTCTCGATCACCTCTAAATGCGTTGGAACAAACTTTGCATATTATTATTATTAGTATCATCGTCATTGAAGTATTAAAAGTCTTCTTGGGGGTGAGCTGAATGAGATCCTTTGCTGGAACTGGCACAGGGAGAAAAAGTCCTCGAGAGAGTGTAGACACTGTGGAGGGAAGAGCTTGGGACCAGCGTCAGGAGAGCTGGGTCCATCTCCCTCTCTGCCCCTCACTACCCTTGTGACCTATAGCAGTGTAAATAATCCCTCTAAGGTGGGGACAAGACCCCAGTCCCTGCTGTGCTCAATAAATGATAATGCTCGAAATAAATAATCAGTGAATGTGGATGGGAAAACTAAGTAATTGTTAAAACTCTGTGGTGTATGACATTTTCATCTACAGAAAAGTGTAGGCTAGGGGTCCTGGGGAATGGTTAGTAATCATAGGTGGAGTTCCATTGGGAAAAAAAATGCTCGTAAAGCTGACGAAGATGGAAGGGACACAGTTAGTGATCATGGATGGTTCATTGTCTAATGGGGGTTGGTACCAGATGGTAAATGACAGCTGGACGTGGTGGCACTCGCTTGTAGTCCCAACTACTCAGGAGGCTGAGGTGGCAGGATTGTTCTAGCCCTCGGCTAGAGCGGGAGCGGCTTGGCGTTTCTGGGGGGTCCGAATGGGTCGCAGCGAGCGCGATGCGGTCGCGGCGGGGCTCAGGTGCGATGTGCAGCGAGGTGCGGGAGCTGGACGCTGCCGGTTGCCGCCACTCCTCAGCCCTGCTTTTCAGTCTCTTTTCAGTCCTCCTCGGGATCGCGCATCACCCGCCCCCTGCACTTTCTGGTCTCTTCTTGCACTTGCTCTCCTCACCTCTCCTCCGCCTTCTCTCACTTTTCGGACAAACCAGCCCTTCTGAAGTCCCTGGGTTCCTGGGCTGTTCCTGTGAATGGCATTCGAGGGCCCTTCCAGCTCTGCCGCTGAGGCAGCCACATCCCCCGGTGCTCAGAGCGGCTCTCGGGTCCCTGAAGCCCTGTCCTCTCCCTGGAGTCCGCGTGTTCTCAGCTCCAGGGCGGGCCGCAGTCCCTGGAGTTGGGGCCTTCCTTTTTTCGGGACCAGGAGCTGGTGCTTCCTATTGCTGTGGGGACTATGGGGCTCCTGACTCTCAAGCTGAGGGGTTGGAGTCTGCCGGCTCCAGGCAGAGGATTCTTCCTGCGACTGCTCCCATCCCCAGCTCATTATCCCTTCGCCTCCCGTTCCCAGGGTTCTTTCCTCTCTGTCAACCCTCCCAGCTACTGTGGACTCCAATGATCTAAGGACACCAGTTTCCCTCCTACTTCCTCAGCTTCCTTTCTCATGGCCCCCTGGGTCCTGTTGCCCTCCCTGCTCCCTGCTACCCCTTTCTATCTGCAGTTCTCTGATCCATTTGTAGGGTGTCCTCTGCCCTCATCCCCTGCTCCCACCACCGCAGGTCCCTCCTGCCTCCCTTATGGGCCTTTCCTACCAGCAGCCTTCACCCAGTGCTGCCCCTATGCCTCCCCATTCCCAGCTGTCCCTGACCCTAACTTTCTGGTGCTGCCTTTTGTCGGGGGAGTCTTCCCTCCATCCCACTCCCCTCCAGGCCACTTAAGGGGCATGGTGCTAATGAAAGTTGGGCCTTAGGCAGGGCGCAGGGCAACGCAGATGCCCCCTCCCCTCCAGTGCAGATGCCTGCTCTGGGCCCTGAGTCAGGTGACCCGTTCCCCACTCCTTCATCCTCAGCCTCACCCTCTTGAGGACCCCACCCTGCAGCCCTCAGGTGCTGGACCATCCCTCCCTGGTCCCTCTGCCCCTCTCTGCCTTGGGACCTTGTGCTGTTCCCACCTCTTGACCAGCTGCCTTGGGCCCTCAGCAAGTTCTCACCTTCCCCAAACCCCACCCTCCCCCAGACAACCCCTCCCTTCCTGTTCTCACTTTACCCCAAGTTCTCTCAGGGTCACCCCCCTTCCTTCTCATGCCACCCTTTAGTCCTTGCCCTGCCCATCTCCTCACCCCCACCCAGACCCAACACAGGCTCTAGTCCAACGGCTCCTTGACCCTCATCCTCTTTCAGTTCCTTGACCCCGGTGGGCTGTCAGTTCCTTGACTTAATATCCAAAATGTTCACTTACCACATAGTGGGCTGTGGTCATCCCCTCCTCTGGGCCTTCTCCCAGCACCACCTTCCTCCTGTGAGGGTTTTCTAACCTGAACCCTCTTTTGGAGTGTGACTGCTCCGCCTTCAGCACCACTCCTCTCTGAAGGCCCTTCCTCAGGCCTTGGTTTTTTTCTCTCTGAACAGGACCCCAGCCTCTTTCTAATTCTAAATTATTGTTTGGTACACTGTGACAATTTCTTTTTTGTTGTTTAATTGTCGTAAAATATATATATAAAGTTCACTATTTTCACCATTTAAAAGTGTACAGTTCAGTGGCATTAAGTACATTCACATTTTTGTGCATCCTGAAACTCTGTGCCTACTAAACAGTAGCTCCCCATTCCTCCTTCCCCCTGGCCGCTGGAACCACTGGTTCTACTTTCTGTCTCTATGAATTTGGCTATTGGGAATTATGCTGCTATGAACATGAGTGTTCAAATATCTTTTTAATGTTCCTGCTTTCATTTCTTTTGGGTAAATACCCAGATGTAGAATTTCTGGATTACATAGTAATTAATTTTTTAGTTTTTGGAGGAAGCAACACACTGATTTCCATAGCAGGTGCCTCACTTTGTCTTTCCCAATGTACTACACAAATGTTCCAGTTTCTCTACCTCTTTGCCAAACTTGCTTTCTCTCTCTCTCTCTCTCTCTCTCTCTCTCTGTGTGTGCGTGTGTGTGTGTGTGTGTGTTTGATTATAGCCATCCTAATTGGTGTGAAGTAGTAGCCCATTGCAGTTTTGATTTGCATTTCCCTAATAACTACAGATGTTGAGCATCTTTTCATGTGTCTATTGGCCATTTGTATGTCTTCTTCGGAGAATTGGCTATTCAAATTCTTTGCCTACATAGTTTTTTTGAGTCTTATGTTTGTGTTACAGGAATTCTTTATGTATTCTGGATATTAATCTTTTATTAGATAAATGATTTGCAAATATTTTCTTCCATTCTAATGGTTGCTTTTTCACTCTGCAGATTGTGTTTTTTAATGCTCAATTTTTTTTATTTTGATGGGTCCAACTTATCAATTTTTTCTTTGTTGTCTGTGCTTTGGTGTTGTATCCATAAAAGTGTTGTCAAAACCTATGTCATGAAGATTATTCCCAATGTTTCATTCTAAGAATTTTTCAGTTTTAGTTCCTGAGTGTAGGTCTTTGATTTATTTAGAGTTAACTTGTATATGTGGTGTAAGTCAGGAGTCCAACTTCATTTCTTTTTGCATGTGAATGTCGTTTTCCTGGCACTGTTTCTTGAAAAGATGCACTGATCCTCCCTTACTCCCATCTTGTACATGATGAGCCTTCCTCAAAGGCAGCGGCCCGCGACTCCATCTCACCCTCACCTGTGTAGCACAGCCATGCTGGTCATGGGTCCCTCTGAGCCTGGGTCCCTTCCCATTTCCACCCTCCCCTCTGGCAAGACCTTCCTTCCACCACTGCCTTCGTGCTCCTCCCTCACCACTGCAGGGCAGCCTCTCTCCTTGGCCTCCTCCCTATACCCTTAGGTGGCCTGTGGCCACCCTGCCTTGGCAGCTGGCCTACATGTTTGCCATCTCCATTCCCCCTTCTTCTGTTCCTCAGTCTGCTCCTCCATCCTCCTGCCCTCCCAGTTTTCCTTGTATCTGAAATCCTCATTCTTGTCCCTTTGCATATGTACATTTCCTGCCTCCTCAGAAAGGTTGAGACAGCAGACCTGTGTGTTAAACATCAATGTGAAGTTACTTCCAGGAAGAAGTTTCATCTGTGGTTTCTTGTTCCCCAGGGCCCCACAGTCTTCATTACAACCTCACGGTGCTGTCCCGGGATGGATCTGTGCAGTCAGGGTTTCTTGCTGAGGGACATCTGGATGGTCAGCCCTTCCTGCTCTTCAACAGGCAGAAAGGCAGGGCTGGGTCCCGGGGACAGTGGGCAGAAGCAGTTCTGGGAGCTGAGACCTGGGACACAGAGACTGAGGACTTGACAGAGAATGGGCAGGACCTCAGAAGGGCCCTGGCATATATCAAGGGACAGAAGGGAGGTGAGAGGTGGCAGCAGGCAAGAGTGATGGGAGACCTTTTCCAGGAGAGCTGGGGGCAGAGAGCAGGGACCTGTCTGTCCCCACTGGATCTGGCTGGGGGTAGGGGTGAGGAATAGGGGTCAGCAGAGCTCGGCGGGGAGGTAACCTGGCACTCAGCCCACACAGAAAGGCATGGAGGAGGGCCAGGGAGGGGTCTCCTCTGGTCTGAGTTCCTCACTTGGAACTGCTGGGTGGGGGTAGCCTTGCATTCCCTCCAGGAGATTAGGGGTTGTGAGATCAGGAAGCCAGCAGCACCAGGGGCTCTAGGCATTCCTACTCTTATGGGTAGCTCTTCCTCTCTCTCAACCTGGAGACTCAGGAATGGACAGTATCCCAGTCCTCCAGAACTCAGACCTTTGCTATGAACATCACAAATTTCTAGAAGGAAGATGCTATGCCGGCCGAGACACACTCTCACCCTATATGGGTAGACTGCAGGCAGAAACTACAGCAGTATCTGGAATCCTGTGTGGGTGTCAGGAGAGCAGGTACTGGGCCTGGGTAGGGGCTTTCCTCTCCCCTATTCCACTAGAGTCACCCCGACCCCCAACTCTGTCCAGGGAAACCCTCCTTGTGCTATGGATGCATGTGTTTTCTGTTGGTGTGTTATATCCTGATTTTTCTCTCCTGTTAGAGCCACTGGAAAAAGACAGTGGGTCAGGGATTGAAGGGTCCAGTGTCACAATCTGGGGAAGCAGTGGGCCCTTTGACAGAAGCCTGAACCTGGGTGGGTGTCAGGCAGGAGAGGAAGCCCCCAGGGCCAAGGCTGCCCCATCTGCTTCCCAGCCTGCCCATCCCAAAGAGTTCCCTCTGGCCCCATGTACCAGGAGCCCACCCCTGACATTCCCCTCCTCAGCATCAATGCAGGGATCCCAGAGCATAAAGACACAGTCTCGAGGCCCATCCTTCTGCCAGCCTTGAGGAATTGGTCCCCAGGGTGAGGACAGACTTGCAGAAGGTCTGGGGTCCGTGAGGACTTCTGCCAGAGTCGGAGCAGTGGAGCGGACCAGCCCTGTTCCCTGCATCTCCATTAGAGGGGAGCAGGGTTTGGCCATGTGCCTCATTGTCTCTGCCCTTTCTTCTCCAGTCCCCCCCTCCTCCACCATGAGTGTGGCCTGCAGTGAGGCCCTGGAGGGCAACATCACCCTGATATGCTGGGCTCTGGCTTGTATCTCCAGAATATCTCTCTGACCTGGTGACAGGATGGGGCGTCTTTGAGCCAGGATGCCCAGCAGTCTTGGGGTGTTCTGTCCAATGGGATGGGACCTACCAGACAGAGGTGGCCTGCAGGATTCCCCAAGGAGAGGAGCAGAGGGTCATCTGCTCCATGGGATACAGCAGGAATCACAGCACTCACCCTGTGTCCTCTAGTGAACCTGGGACCACCCTTGAGGGTTCCAACATAAGGAGGATCAGGCCAGGGTGGGGGCAGCAGGAACAGCTGTGGCTGTGGGTGCCCCGTGTGTAACAGGCCCTTTTTTTCAGGGATGGTCCTGGTGCTTCAGAGTTGATGACCAGCCATTCCATATGTTGCTGCTGTTGCTGCTTTCATCATCATTAGTATTATTATTAGTAGTAGTATTCTCTGTGTCCTTTGATGCAAGAAGAAGACAACATCAGGTGCAGAGGGTCCAGGTGAGAAAAGGGGACAGTTGCTAGAGATGGGAGGGTCCCTGTCTGGGCTGTAGGGTCCCCTCATACCTTCTGTGCAGATAGGCTTGTAGGTGACAAGGCTTCTGGAACAGGCGATGAAAGTTGGGGTATTTGGGAGGAGAATGAGAGCCACGTTGCCATCTACATCCCTGTGAGAAAGAAACTCACCCATTCAAACCCAAAAAATAGACTCAGAGACCCAGAGAACAGCGAAAGAGAGACTTTTAATGACAGTCTTGCAAGATCAGGTGTCTGGAGTGCAGGTACACCTGGGACAGTTTCAACAAACTATTTCTTCCCTAGTGTGCAAGTCCCTTCCCCAATTCCTCATTAGCTGAGTACTACGGGGTTATAGTCTTCCTGGGCATCGCCTATTGGTAGTTGTATTAAGACTTCAAGTATGTTCTTTAGGGTCTTTTTGCTGCATTTTTTGCTGCATTTTGTTGCAGCCACCCATAATGCATGGCGACTGTCTCAAGACTCTGAGCATTTGACTTACCGCCCTAGTGGCTGCACTTAGGTGATGGCAAGCTAGCCCAAACTAAATTCTTTGATGAGGTGGGGAGGGGGGTCATTGAGGGGGCCCTGACCAGTAGGCTCCTGGACACTGGGTCAAAGGGAAAGCAGGAAGGAGGGGATTGTGGCTTAGTATATTTTGCTTCTTTATCTCTTTGTTTCCATGTGGCCTGCTTAAACATATTCTAAGGCACTTAGGAAAATGAACCTTCACATGTAGGTTATTTTTTACATTTACCTCCTCTTTTTCTTTTTACCCTTTTTGGTCTTATTTTCACTTAGATATCTTTGTTTATTAACTGTTCTGGAAGTTTTTTACTTTCTTCATTATAGGAGGAGAAGTTTAGTTTGGCTTTTAATAATAGTAAGTCATTCTGTTGGGACATTAGGGGCATTTGTTTACTAATAGCTGCTTTAATTAACCTTTGTGTTAAACCCTTCACACAAGGTATGATACAACATCCTATGGCTGTTAAGACCCCAGCCATAATCACGAGAGATGTAAGAATTGAAGGTACCATTCCTTTCCATTTTTCAAACCAACCTTCTAACCAGTTAGTAAAAAGGTCATTTACTCCTGTGTTTTCTGCCAGCTCGTTGACTAGAGTTGTTAGTCCCTGCAGTCCCTTTATGATGGTTCCATCTGGGGCAGCATTGTTGTGAATGAAAGTGTCACATTTTCCACCCAGCATATCACATATATCACCTTTCTCTGCTAATATTATGTCCAGTGTAATTCTGTTTTCCCAAGCCATTTAGCTAGTGGCATTTAGTTGTCTGGCTACTCCCTTAAGGGCATTTTGCGTGTAATTGATGAATCTTTGCTGATTATAAGACATGTAATTAATCTAATTTATATTCTTGTTAATAGTTGACCACCAGAAAAGTGCTGACTCAAATCTAGCAGGTATTTGGTTTCGTGCTTTAAATTTATTAGGCACTCCTCTAGGTACTCCTATGGAGTTTAGATAGATAGATAGATAGATAGATAGATAGATAGATGGATAGATAGATATACAAAGCTTTCATCCACTGTTCCAGAAGCCTTGTGTGTATGTGTGTGTGTATATATATATGTGTGTGTGTGTATATATATATATGTATATGCATATGTTTGTGTGTGTGTGTGTGTATATATATATATACACACACACATTATATATGGGTTAAAATAAATTGCTAAATTACTCTGATCTCTATGACCATGTGTATTTTTAGCTGTTTCATGGAATGACAGGGTGAACGGAATGGCCAATTGTACTAAAGCACAAGTCCCGGTCCAATTGGACGGTAACAAGTTACGGAGGTTCCCTTTCCCGAAATACCACCAGACATTTGCCTGGGGTATATGGAGAGCTGAGTGGTTGCCACAGTCTGGGTTACCAGTGACATTTAGGATGTGGGTGCAGGTTGTGAGTTTTCCCACAGGTTTATCGAACCTCACCTTCTGTCTAGAGAGACAACAGGAGTGATTTATATTCCCTATAGAGAATGAGGGGATTGCTTTAGGATCTGATCTCTGCAAAGTGGGAAAGAGCAATGACAGACTTTTACAAGTCTTATTTCCCCATGCAACCTTGTCTTGGTATACAGCCAACACGCAACACATTCCTTTGGGATTAGTATCCCATCCAAGGGGAAATGGAACCACCTGTGCCTGAGGTTGACCAGCAGCACATGCATAACAGTTACTTTTATCGAGGGCTTGTGCTGAAAATTTCACCCATTTAACACAGGCATTTATGTCTCTATATCCTGTTTTAATTTTTAAAGTCTGCCTTAAGTCAGTTACTTTAATTATTTTTACTCTCTTAGGTTTATTGTTTGGTGGGTTAAAGGAAGTTAATGGGACCAGGAGTTCTAGTAATTCTGGATGGGCTTGGGGTAGAGTTGGTGACTAACCTAAAAGCTAACCATCCCATGGGATTCCTTTCTGAGATATTTATTTTTAATTTATACCTTCAAGGTTTCTGGTTTAGAGTAGCTGGGTTGTTTATAGTAATTAATATAGGATTGCACTTTAAATTTTTACAGTTAGGTGGCGTGTGGTTCTTATACAATACTTAGGTTTCCTTTCACCCCTTGTGTTAGGATTAATTCTAACCATATCAGCCCCCAGTGATGGAGCCTGCTTATGGCTTACTTTTAGGTTTTCCTTAGAATTAGCTTAAAGGATTTCTTAGGTGATTTATACACTTCCAATTTACCTTCCGTTTTTTTTTTTAACCAGTTTCTTGACCCGAGTGTAATGTGTCCACCCCTGATCAGCTGTTTGTACAGCTGCCTCACTTGATAGGGACCTTCCCAGCTTGGGTGGAGCTTGTCTTCTTTCCAAGTCTTAATTAGCACTGAGTTGCCAGGCTGGAAGTGGTGAACTGTGAACTCAAGGGGTGGGGTTTGTGTTACAAGTTCTTTTAACCTTAAGTTGTTTCCTGGGAGTTCACACAATTCCCACACACTTGTTTAGCCAGGGCATACATTTCTATACACCCATAATTCTTTAGTATTTCATCACACATGTCCTGGGGACCCCAATGACTTCCCTTATGCAATATAGACATTAGATTTTTTTTTCTTTTTTTAGACAGAATCTCGCTTTGTCACCCAGGCTGGAGTGCAGTGGCACGATCTCGGCTCACTGCAAGCTCCACCTCTCGGGTTCATGCCATTATCCTGCCTCAGCCTCCCGAGTAGCTGGAACTACAGGCACCCACCACCACGCCCCGGCTAGTTTTTTTGTATTTTTAATAGAGACGGGGTTTCACTGTGTTAGCCAGGATGGTTTTGATCTCCTGACCTTGTGATCCACCCGCCTCTGCCTCCCAAAGTGCTGGGATTACAGGCATGAGCCACCGCACCGGCCAACATTAGATTTTTTATTATGGGTTTGTTTATTATTTCTCTCCCATCAGGGAGCACTCACCTTCCATTCTTAGTTTAAGTGGCTCCTATCTTGCCTAGCTTTTCCTCCTCTTTTGAAAATTGGGGTTTTAATATCACCTTAGGGATATCTGGGCTAAACAGTTTAAATTTTTCCTCCAGGGAGACTTGCTTAGCAGCCTTATCTACAAGCCTGTTCCCTACAGCTTCTATAGTGTTTCTTTTCTGATGGCCATTTACATGAACTATGGCTGTCTCTGCTGGAAACAGGAGGCTTTCTAAAACTTGTTCCCCATGTACCAATTATTTTGCCCTGCTATTTTCTAGGCCCTGCTCTGTCCAGATTTTTTCAAAGGTGTGTACTACTTTATAGGCATATTTGGAATTAGTATATATAGTGTCTTCTTGATCTTCTAGGAGCTTTAGGGTCTGGTTAAAAGCATAAAATTTACAGGTTTGGGCTGACCAGTTATTGAGTAATTTAACTTTTTCACATAAGGATTGTTTGTTTTTGTTCATGACAGCACAGCCATTGTGTCTTTTACCATTTATTACTCAGGATGACCCATTCATAAACAACCTCATCCCATTATGTAGTAGAGTTCCTTTAAGGTTTGGTACTAACTTTAGTTTGATACTCTGTGATATCTAAACAGTTATACTCTGACGCCTTCTTATTCTCCTCTCCTTTTCATAAGAAACTGGCTGGTGTTCGTTTAGGCACCTCCCCAGCGCCCATTGACCCCAGGAGGAACTTGGGGAGGCAAGGGACTGACCAGCTGGCATCCCAGAGTGCCCTTGGCCAGGCCCTGCTGGGTTTGGCTTTGGGCCAAGAGCTGCTGGTTTGAAGATCTGCCAGCCTGTGGAGCCTTCCCTGATGGGTACTCTCATTAGAAAAGGCATTTCTGGCTCCGCCCTCCCTTCCTGTTTTTTTTTTGTGTGTGTGTGTGTGTGTGTGCTTCAAAGGCACCGTTCCTCTCCGTGGCAGGCCTAGAGGTGCACTGTTTGTGTTTCATGCAACCCCCACTGGTGACCCAGCAACTGTAAAGGGTCTCCAGTTTGTCCAGCCCTGGGAGGGGACTTAGTGGCTTTTCCTCCTCCTGGGCTGCAAGGATCCTCCCCTGGCCCAGCCCGACTCTGGGAAACAGAACTTTTACACATTCCACCTTAAAGCATTTTGGCAGACTTTTCCCCAGCACGAGCTCTCTCTACTTCAGGGATTGCAAACTGGCATCCTCTTTTGCCTGTTTTGGGTTTTTAAGTTATTTGAACAGAATATCAGCATTTTAAAATTATATTTTACATAAAAAGTCAGAATTTTGTCCTCTGACAAAGCAGACAATCTGGCAACACAGTGCCAGCACTGTAAGAAGAGCTGAGCAGCCGCCACAGTTCCCACCCAGCCCTGCAGCCCTCCTTTTTATTATTTGCTGGCCCTGTAGTCATTTGAGTTTACAGCCCTAGTACTGATTTTCCTTATGTAGCGACCCCAGCCCTTCTGCTGCCTTACTGACAGCTAACTGCCCCTGGTGGCCTTCCAGCCTCTCACTAAAACAACAACAAAACCTTAATGTTATCTTATTCATTTACTCTTCCATAACTTGAATCCTTTTGACCACCTCCTGATAAACAGCCATCTAGTTTTTGCTGTAGGCAACCCGTTACACCTCAGGCAGCCTGATCCTAAACTCTCCTCCACATCCCTTTCTCACTTGCATCCATCCCCCAGTTCCCGGGTTTTGTCGTTCCTCAGTGGCCACGCACTGCATGCACCCTTCCCCTGCACCTCCTTGTTGCTTAAGTCCCCAGAAACTTCCCCCAGCCCTGCCAACCTCTCAGCATTCTCTCACTTTGTCTTGTACTCTTTTTTCCTTTTACATTATTTGTCTCCCCAGTTTTACCTTCTGTGTTTCTCTTTGATCTCTGTCTCTTTTAGTCTCTCTTGCTAATTTTCCTCTTCTATTCTCTCTCTGTCATCCCCTGTTTCCTTTCTGTCTCACATTCAGCTTCTTCCTCTTTCTCTGGGCATGAGCAGAGCCGTGCTGTGCCCTGGCTCCCCTTGTCTGTCTGCAAAAACAGGCAGCTCTGCGGAAATGACTCAGCAGTAACCTTTATCAACAGCTTTTAGAAGCCAGCTGCCACACACAGCTGTGCCGCTGGGTCTCTCTTCCTTCAGGTATAGCAGCTTAACTCTCTCTCTCTCTCTTTCTCTCACACACACACACAAACTTTCTGAGCTTCCCTCAGTATTTCCTTAATTGGTTTTTTATTCCATCCGTTAATCTTTTGCAGTTTCTTAGTAATATTACATCAGCTTTTAGTTACAAAATTAACCTTTAAAAGGCCTTGCCCTACTGGGTCCTCTGGATTTAATCCTGAATATTTTTTCACTTGATCCCTGAGCCTCTGCAGAAATGCAGAGGGAGTCTCCTCTTCTTGTTGTTGGATCTTGAATGCTTTGGGGACGTTTTGTGTCCTATGAGTGGACTGCATAATCCCTCTAATTATTAGCTCCCTAAGGTCTTGCATTTGGACCCGATCCCTGGGGTCATTATTATCCCATCCAGGGTCTGCATTTGGGAATTTCTGCTTAGCTGGCAGGACTCCTTACCCAGGAGGATGCTGCTGTCTCTCCCAAATGATTATGGCTGCCCTTCTAATTATTCCCGTCTTTTTCCCAGTAAACAGAATATTCATGATTGAATTATCTCAGCCCAAGTATAAAAATTAGGTTCTAAAAATTGATCTAGCTGTTCTGCTAAACTGAGGGGATCTTCCGAGAGTGGCCTCATTTCCTTTTTAAAATTCCTAACCTCAGTACTTGTTAAAGGCACACTTACAAATCCAATTTATTATTATTATCATTATTATACTTTAAACTCTGGGATACATGTGCAGAACATGCAGGTTTGTTACATAGGTATACATGTGCCATGGTGGTTTGCTGCACCCATCAACCCATCATCTACATTAGGTATTTCTCCTAATGCTATGCCTCCCCTAGCCCCCTACCCTCAGACAGGCCCCAGTGTGTGATGTTCCCCTCCCTGTGTCCATGTGTTCTCATTGTTCAACTCCCATTTGAGTGAGAACATGCAGCGTTTGGTTTTCTGTTCTTGTGGGTCTTTCTCTGAGAGACCCAGAGAACACGTAGCTGATGGTTTCCTGAGAATGATGGTTTCCAGCTTCATCCATGTCCCTGCAAAGGACATGAACTCATCCTTTTTATGGCTGCATAGTATTCCATGGTGTATATGTGCCACATTTTCTTTATTCAGTCTATCATTGATGAGCATTTGGATTGGTTCCAAGTCTTTGCTATTGTGAACAGTGCCGCAATAAACATATGTGTGTATGTATCTTTATAGTAAAATGTTTATAATCCTTTGGGTATATATCCAGTAGTGGGATTGCTGGGTCAAATGGTATTTCTGGTTCTAGATCCTTGAGGAATTGCCACATTATCTTCCACGATGGTTGAACTAATTTACACTCCCACCAACAGTGTAAAAGCGTTCCTATTTCTCCACATCCTCTCCAGCATCTGTTGTTTCCTGACTTTTTAATGATCGCCATTCTAATTGGTGTGAGATGGTATCTCATTGTGGTTTTGATTTGCATTTCTCTAATGATAAGTGACTATGGGCCTTTTTTCATATGTTTGTTGACTACATAAATGTCTTCTTTTGAGAAGTGTCTTTTCATATCCGTCGCCCACTTTTTGATGGAGTTGTTTGTTTTTTTCATGTAAATTAAGTTCTTTGTAGATTCTGGATATTAGCCCTTTGTCAGATGGACAGATTGCAAAAATTTTCTCCCATTCCGTAGGTGGCCTGTTCACTCTGATGATAGTTTATTTTGCTGTGCAGAAGCTCTTGAGTTTAATTAGATCCCATTAGTCAATTCTGGCTTTCGTTGCCATTGCTTTTTGTGTTTTAGTCATGAAGTCTTCGCCCATGCCTAGGTCCTGAATGGTATTGCCTAGGTTTTCTTCTAGGGTTTTTACAGTTTTAGGTCTTATGTTTAAGTCTTTAATCCATCTTGAGTTGATTTTTGTATAAGGTGTAAGGAGGGGGTCCAGTTTCAGTTTTCTGCATATGGCTAGCCAGTTTTCCCAACACCATTTATTAAATCGGGAATCCTTTCCCCATTGCTTGTTTTTATCAGGTTTGTCCTTCCTTACAGTGTTCTAATTCTTTCCTCAAGTTTGGATAAGGATTTAAGGGAGCATTGGGTTTAGCTCCTTCATGACCTCCCAAATCCTTTTCCTCTGACCTTCCTTTTGCCCCCTGATCTCCCTGTCCTCTACTTTGTGAGATGTATAGGGTGTAGGGCAAGCGTGTTAGGGGATCCCAGGGCTTTTCACTGGGTGAGGGCTCTTTACTATGCTCTTTATATTTCTCTTTAAGGGGGAACACGGGGCTCAATTCACTAATCCAGCAAACAGCATAACCCATCTCCTCTTGTGAAGATGGGGTTTTATCATTCACATAGAGAATTAAAGCTTGGCATATACAGTCCTTATTTGAGCTAAACTTAGGCCAAAGGACTGAAGGCTGACAAATGGGCTTTTTAGGCCAGATAAAACAGCAATACATTATTATTTTTTGTTTTTCCTTATTTCAGGTTTTCTAGTTATTTTTGAGTCAGTTTTGGCAATTTCTATCTTTGTATGAATCTGTCCATTTTATCTAAGTGGTCTAACTTATTGACTTCAGGTTTTTCAGAGTCTTCACTTATAATGCTTTTGAATTTCTAAAGGGTCACTAGTGATAATCTCTCTTTTGTTCACAATTTTGGTAATTTATCTCATTTCTTATCATCTCTGTTTTGACTGTTGGTCAAGAAAACAGACAGAGGCAGCAGATGGCTATGTGATTCTCTAGTGGGAAGGCTTTGATCATACATGGCTGGCAAGCCAGACTGATGGCAGCAACCCCAAAGGAGCTGCCAAGGGATCTTGACAGGAAAGTCACTGACTCTGGATTGGGCTATGCTCAACCAGGGGAAGAGGTCAATGCTTCAAGGGCTATGAAATCACCAGAAAAAAAGAGATTGCACCAATGTGGACTGCTGAGTCCCATTTCTTTACGCAAGAAAACACACTTTACAGCCTCAAATGGCTAACAATGCACAGGGAGATGTCCTCCTCAGAAGAAAACTTTGATAGAAAATTGAAATGGTCAGTTGAAGCATTGTTTGTCTAAAAACTGGCAATATAGTTGTTGGGCAATATAAACATGAAGGACTGGCTTTTACATCTTCATGAATGTGCTCACTGTCCACATGGGTGGGGCGCAAGAGTGACTCCTCTAGATAGCTTCCTCTCTTTTACCTGATGGATCAGGACGATGCTGTTATGACTATACATACAATTCTTCTGAAGGGGAGAGGATGCTGGAATAATGACTACGCTTCACCTCAAATTTCTTTTTTCATATGTGATGCAGTGGTACCAGGAATAGGGATGAAAATCAAAGTGCCAGAAACAGGAATTATCTTTAAGCCAAAAACCATAACTATATATTTACATCTTTATATAAGAATTCCCAAGCAACTCAAAGATGGTGCTATGCCTTCATTTCATCTGGCAAAGTCAGGATTAACAGTAAATAGAGCTATATAGCCTGGTAGTCAGATGGCCCCCACTAGTTCCTTACCTACATAACCTACCCTCTATGACCAAGAGTAGACCGAGGGAAGGCATGCTAGAATACTATTGCTGCCTGCAGTCTAGGTCAGCACAGCAGACAAACCTGATGTCACCTCTAAAACTGGAAAAGACTGATATAAAGGGACAGAAGGAGGAATAGTGGCTGAGGGTAAGTGAATAAATCAAAGGGTTATATAATGAGGAAAATTCAATATTAGCTTAACTCCTCAAAAGTGCTGTGAGCAAGAGAAGATATTGTCTCTTAGGTCAATTATACTGGGTGCCTAAAAGAGTGAAGCCATATGTCCTTGAGACCATTCTTGTTTTTGGAGCCTGGTAAGGTTGAGTGGTGTCTGCAAACCTGAGTGACTTCATTCTGGGAGACATATTCATATGAGAGGATGGTAAACTGTTCTAATTTTGAATGACTGAATGAGACTCTGATAATACGCCAATACCTCTTTACTTTTATAATCCTTTTCCTATAAAAGATATGTGGTCAAAGAAAAGCGGGTAATCTGAGGTATAACAAAAACATTTAGTCTTTGTCCCTGGTTTCTCCTAAAAACCTTAGAATCTCTTGCGTGATAAGAGTTAGAATATTAATGAGAGGACTCATGGCTGAGCGGACCCTGGATATCTTGAGAATGGGGGCTGGCTGCCAGAGACACATACCTGTGATGAGAGCGCTGTCTTATTCCATTTTGTGTTGCTATAAAGAAATGTCAGAGACTGACTAATTTATGTAAACAAGGTTCATGTGGCTTGGGATTCTGATGTCTGGAAATGTTTGAGCATTTGGTGAGGGCCTCAGGCTGCTCCCACCCATGGCAGAAGGCAAAGGGGAGCTGGTATGTGCAGAGATCACACGGTAAGAGAGGAACAGAGAGCTTAGGAAGTTGCCAGGCTCTTTTTAACAACTGGCTCTCTTGGAAACTAAAAGAGTAACAATTCATTCACTTCCGAGAGAGGACAGGATCTCTTTATTCATAAAAGATTGGCCCCCATGACCCAAACAGCACCCATTAGGCCCCACATCCAACACTGGGGGTCAGATTTTAACATGAGGTATCAGGGGGTAAATATTTATATCATTGCATTCTGTCCCTAGCCAGCCAGAGCTCATGTTTTTCTCCCATTGCAAAATATGATAATTTCCCAATTGTCCCAAATGTGCTAGGTTGTTCCAGCATCAACTCAAAATTCCAAAGTCTCATCTGAGACTCAAGGTAAGTCCCTATAGCTGTGAGCCTGTAAAGTTTTAAAAAGGTTATTTACTTCTAAAATATTAATACAACAGTGGAAGAGACATTTCTTATACATTTCCATTCTAAAAGGAATAAATGGGCCAAAAGAAATGAATGCAGTGTCCTCACAAAGCTGAAACTCATCATGGAAGATGTTAAAATTTAAAGCTCTAAAATAATCTCCTTTGACCCTATATCTTGAATCCTGAGCACACTGGTTCAAGTGGTGGGCTCACAATGCCATTTGCAGCCCCACATCCTTGGGTTTGCTGAACATAACCCATATAGCTGCTCTCATGGGTGAAAATTGAATACCTATGGATTTTCCAAGCTGAGCTTGCACATTGCCAGTGGCTCCACCATTTAGTAGTCCTGGTAGGGGTCCTGCTCCTGCAGCTCCACTGGGAATTGTCCTGGATATTAAATTTCCCCTTTAAATATCAGTTCCAGTTTCAGATCATTTTTTTGCTCACACATATGTGCATAGACTATTACAACAGGAAGCCAAATCTTGAATGCTATGCTGCTTAGAAATTTCTTCTATCAGATACCCTTAATCATCACCCTCATGTTCAAAGTTCCACAGATCCCTAAGGAGGGGGCAGAATGCCTCCAAGTTCTTTGCCAATGCATAACAAAAGTGACCTTTTCTCTAGGTCCCAGTAAGTTCCTCATCTCCATCTGAGACCTCATCAGCCTGGGCTCTATTGTCTATATCACTATCAGCATTTTGGTCACAACAATTTAACAAACCTCTAGGAAGTTGCAAGTTTTCCCCCATTTTCTTGTCTTCTAAACTCTCCAAACTCTTCCAACCTCTACCTGTTACCCAGTTCCAAAGACATTTTCACATTTTCAGCTACGTTTATTGCAGTACCCAACTTCTGGTACCGATTTTCTGAATTATTCATTCTCAACTGTTATAAAGAAATACCTGAGACTGGGTAATTTATAAAGACAGAAGGTTTAAATTGGCTCATGGTTCTGCAGGCTATATGAAAGTATGATTCTGGCATCTGCTCAACTTATGAGAGGACCTCAGGAAATTTTCAATCATGCTGGAAGGTTAAGGGGAAGTAGGCATGACTTACAAGCCTGGAGTAGGAGGGAGAGAGAGCAGGGAGGTACCACACACTTTTAAACACCAGACGTTGTGAGAACTATCACAAGAACAGCACCAAAGAGATGGTCCTAAACTATTCATGAAGGATCCATCCTCATGAGCCAATCACCTCCCTGAGGTGCCACCTCCAACCTTAGTGATTACAAGTGAACATGAGATTTGGGTGGAGACACAGATCCAAACAATATCAGGGGTCATGGTGGACATGAGGGTGGGCTGGTCTCCCCACTTCTCACATGATACCAGGGATGTAGACACATTCAGACGCCTTGGCAGAAAGAGAAGACAGAGGCCCTTGAAGTCACAAAGGGGAGGCATGAACAAATCTTGCATCTCAGTCCCTCACAAGGCAGTCTTAGAAAAAAAATAGTCATGAACAAATTCAGATCAGTCATAGTAAGTTGTGACACTGAACAGCCCACCACACCCTGAAAAATTCCAAATCAAAGAATCTCCAGAGCCTAGTTGTGTCCCCTATGCCCCAACTCCTCCTTCCCTTCAGGCCCCCTAAGTTGTCATTTTACAAGCCTTGAGAGACACATCAGAGCTGTTTCGGGTGGAACAAAAACAAAATCTGGTCAGAGCCCACAGATGATGTGACTAAAGGAGGAATTTTGGGGTGGTGAGCTCCCCCATGGGCTCCTGTCTACACTATCCCAAGGATCTCAGGGATCACTCTTCCCACCCCTACCACACTTGCATGAAGCCTGAGCATAGCTGCCTCCTTTTCCATCTGTGGAAAGAAAATAAACTGTGAAAGGCCAGGGAGGAAGCAGGGTCATGAGATCCCAGAGGAGTGTCCAGAACTGTGACTGCAGACCCAGGTCAGAATCAGGAAACCCTAGGTAAGAGGATGTGTTGAAACTGGACTAATTGACCTAGTGAGGTCTGTCCTCTGCGGGTACCTTCCCCTGACCTGTGACTGCTGGGAGTCAGGTTCCCATGACTCCAATGAAGGTGATAAATTTGTCCTTCATTTTCACAAGTTCTTTACAAAAGAGTAAGTGTTGATAGACAGAGATGGTGCCTCATGACTAGGCAGGATACAAGCCAACTCCCATCTGGGGCTGGGAATCCACCAATGGAAGAAGAAAACTCGGAGCTCACCCCTTTCCTACCTGGGCTCTTATTCTTCCACATCACAGCAGTGACCACAGCTCTGGTGAAAACAGCACCAAGAACAACCAGGACAGTAACGATGCCCATGATGGGGATGGTGGGCTGGGAAGACAGCTGTAAGAAAGGAGGGGAACGTGAGGGGCCCTGACCATCAGGCCTCAAACCCTGACCTTGCTGAAGGGCTCCAGAAGGGCTCCTAGTTCCCGTGAGAAGAGACATGACCCCTCATCCCCTTCCTTACCCATCTCAGGGTGAGGGGCTCTGGCAGCCCATCGTGCTGCACATGGCATGTGTATCTCTGCTCCTCTCCAGAAGACACCACCACAGCTGCCCACTTCTGGAAGGTTCTGTACCCTGCAGGTGTGGTCTCCACAACCTCTGCATCCTACATTTGGTCCTGTCCATCCCACTACTGGGTCAGTGTGATCTCCACAGGGTAGAAGCCCAGAGCCCAGCACCTCAGGGTGGCCTCATGGTCAGAGATGGGGTGGTGGGTCATGTGAGTCTTTTGGGGTTCTGAGGGGAAGAGTCAGAAAATTCAGGCACTTTGCATTCCTCATGGGACATTCCACCTCATGGGACCATCCTGAAAATTGACGGGACATCTGAAGTGGGGAAGGGAGCAACTCAGACACCAGTCTAGACACAGGCACCTGGGGCAATCTTCTATTCCTTAGAAAGTTTTAGTGTCTGAGGCCGGAACAGAGATTTCTGGTCCTGACCTGAGCGGAGGCCGAGGTCAAAAAAGCTGGAATCAGACCCACAAATACACATTGAGTGTGAGGCAGAGAACAAGGCCTGAGAGGAAAATTCCTGGTGCCCAAGGCTGCTGTGGGGACAAATGGGACCGCGGATCAGTATTTCAGGGATTGTCTTCCCCTCCTTTCCCTCAGAGACTTCATCCTTTAACTGTCCCAGAGTGCAGGGCAGGCCCTCAGTCACTCTCTAGTATAGGATCTGAAAACCCGGGAGGACTCTTCCTCCTCACAAGAGGGAGAGGGATGTTTTAGCGTTGGTCCCATTTTCCTTCCCTTCTTTTGGAATGTGACTCAAGGAGATCTGCAGGAGATCAGGGAGGCACCCCGTGGCCACTGGTACCTGGGCACTGCAGCCTCTCCTTCCCATTCTTAAGGACTTTGCTGAGCCACTCCGCCCACCTTCCCTGCAGGTAGGTTTTGAGCAGCTCTGCCTGTTCCTCCGCCAGGGCATCTGAGCCGCCTTGTCCGCTGCAGTCCAAGAGCGCAGTTCCTGGTTTCGGACGAGGTAACTGGCGCCGTGATAGGGTATGTTCATACCCACTGAGGAGACTGCAGTCCGAGTCCACGTCGCAGCTGTGTACCCACTGGAGGGTGTGAGACCCATTCCCAGCGACCGCGGTCAGCCCAGGCCGCTGAGCCCCGCCTCAGCCTCCACCAACCCCCCAGGGATTTGGGCCTGAACTGAAAATGGAATCCGGTATAGGCGCCTGGGGCTTTTATTGGGTGGAGGATTTCCGCTGGTCCCGCAGCGGAGTAGCACAATCTTAGTAACAGTGGGTAGCGCAGTACAGTGCCTAGCACAATCTTGGTAGCCCCTGAATGGTCACGAATCTAATTTGTAAAAGAGGTGATTTTTGGCCCCATTATATATAAATGTGTCTAAACGCATTGCAGTTAGACTCACAAAGTTAAGTTTTACTTTCCCAGACTGTGTATCTGTGACTCTGGTCTGTTGTATTTTTAAATTATCTTTATCTTATAGCCCTGAGTTTGTGTGCGCGAGTCCAGGACATCTCAATACAAAGCACAATGTGTTACCGTATATTGCAACCAGGAGCCTGTACAGAATTTAATCACCTCAAATTTGCAAGTGCTCAATGCAGCCAAAGTGCCCGTCACCAGTGCTCATGCACCGCCTTTATTTATTATTTATTTATTTAGTTAGTTAGTTATTTTTAGACCGAGTATCACTCTGTTGCCCTAGCTGGAGTGCTGTGGCACGTTCATGACTCACTGAAGCCTCGACCTCCTGGGCTCATGCGATCAATGCTCCTCCTTCAGCCTCCAAGTATCTGGCACCACAGGCTTGTACCACCACTCCTGGCTAATTTTTCTAAAAAAAAATTTGTAGAAATGAGGTCTCCCTATGTTGCTCTGGCTAGTCTTGAACTCCTGAGCTCAAGTGATCCTCCTGCCTCAGCCTCCCAAAATGCTGGTATTACAGGCATGAGCCGCAATGGCCATCTCATGCACCTGCCTATATTTAGGAATTATTCACATCTAAGCTATGTGCATATTTTATTGGGACACTTGGTCTTCTTTTCTAACCTGTTTATCATAAGGAGGCAATTAGTTATTAGACAGCCCCACAGAATGTATTAAAGATCAAGGTGCAAGTAACACTGTGCCAGGCTCTGAGGATAAATGGATTAAAAATCTATAAAACCCTGTGTTTAAGTCTGAGAATTCCATTGCTTTAGAATTCTTTGTCTCTGTTCCTTTACCTCACCTCCTGCTTCTCCAGCCCTTCTCTCTGTCCCTGTCACCCATCAGGCCCTCCTCTCCCCTTAGTCTCTACTACTCTGTCACTACTGAATTGTGGCCCTAGCTCTGTCCCCTCACCTGCTGCCCATGACTGTTCTCCCAACAATGGTCAGAAATCCTGCTAATGTGAGTCAGATTGTGTCATTTCTTCACTTAAAACACTCCAATGACTCCATCTCACTCTCAAGAAGCGTCTAGAATGGAAGGCACATGAGCACAGGGGCTTTGGGTTGTTTTGATCAAAGTTGTGTCTGCAGCATATAAAAGCATATCTGGCACAACTAAGTTAATTTTCTTGAATGAATGAAATATGATTGTGTTAAAAATTGTATCGCACAAAAATCACAAAATGAAAAATGCAAAGCAAGTTAGGAAACATTTGGTTTTATGCAACTACTATGCATATCAGTTCATAAATTCATTCCATTGGAGAAAATGTCATATGCCTAGCTGTTGAATCTGTTTATGAATTTTCTATTAGTACATAACCAATTACCACAAACTTAGTGGCTTAAAAGAACACTCATTTATTTGTCTGCATTTCCTTCATCAGAAATCCAGGCCTAATGTGATAGACTCTTTGTTCAGAGTTTCGCAAAGCTGTATCCTCATCTTAAGATTGGGGTTCTCCCCCAAGCTTATGTAGAGTTTGTTGGCAGAATTCGGTTTCTGGCAATTGTAGGATTAAGGTCCCTGTTTCCTTCGGGCTATCAGAGTAGACAGTGGGGAGGGTTTCTAATTCCTATTGGCCACCAGTGTTCTTTCCCCATGATCCCACCATTTTCAAAGCCCACAGTGGAGGAAGCCCCTCACGCTGAATCCCTCTCACACTGTGAGTCTCTATTGTCAGGAAGAACCCAGTCCTTTTCAGAGCTTACCTGATTAGGACCGTCCAAGCAGGATAATCCCCATCTTAAAGCCAACTGACAGGGGACCTGGAATACATCTGCAAAATCCCTTCACAGCAGCACTTACATTAGTGTCAACAGAGTAACTGGGGTAATGTGAGTAACCAAGGGTGGTTATTGGGGTGTCATCATAGAATCACCCTAGCATAGCCTGGATCTTCCTTTTGTGTTTGAATAGAACATACAAATTGAAGGTAAAAATAATAGATCATTGTTAGTGATAATAAAATATATCTTATATAACCATGAAAATTCTTGTTAAATATTAAAAGCAAATGACATGTTTAATATCTTATAATCAATTTAGAGCAAATGAAAAATTCAATGATTCATCCTTTCTTGTGAAGGTGTATTAGTTATCTACTGATGCATAACAAGTCACTTAAAACTTAGCAACTCAAATCAACAAATATTTGTCATGTTCCACAGTTTCTAGTTGTCAGGAATCCAGGAAAGGTTTCTCAAAGTTCTTCTGGCTCAGGGCCACTCACAAAATTGCGGTCTAGTTGTCATCCAGGGCTTTATCATCTGAGGGCTCAAATGGGGCTGGGGATTCACAAGTCACAAGAATATCCCACATGGCTGTTGGAAGAGGCTTCATCTTCTTATTGTCTGGCCCCAGGAGGCCTCACTTCCTAGTCACTTGGAGCTTTCCACAGGCCTGCTTATGACACAGCAGCTGGCTTCCCCCAAGGCTCATGATCCCAGAGAAAGAGAAAACCAGAACCAAAGTAGAAGCTGCAGTGAGTTTTTGTTTGTTTGTTTGTTTGTTTTTTCAGACAGAGTCTCACCCTGTCACCCAGGCTGGAATGCAGTGGCTGGATCTTGGCTCACTGCAACCTCCGACTTCCAGGTTCAAGTGATTCTCCTGCCTCAGCCTCCTGAGCAACTGGGATTACAGGCATGCACCACCACACCTGGCTAATTTTTGTATTTTTAGTAGAGACGGGGTTTCACCGTCTTGGCCAGGCTGGTCTCGAACTTCTGACTTCATGATCCACCCTCTTGACCTCCCAAACTGTTGGGATTACAGCCGTGAGCGACCGCTCCCAGACTTAGTGAGTCTTATGATCTACACCCAGAGTCACAAACTATTATCTCAGCATTACTCTATCAGTCTGTAAGCGAATCATTAAGTTCAGGCCACACTCACAGGAAGGGAATGAAGCTGCACCTCTGCAAGGAGGAGTATCAAATAATTTATATGCATGTTAAGTATGTACAGTGTGCATGTTAAGTAACGTACAGAATGTAATCACCTCAAATCTGCAAGTGCTCAATGCAGCCAAAGTGCCCTTCACCAGGGCTCATGCACTGCCTCCATTATTTATTTATTTATTTATTTAGTTAGTTAGTTAGTTAGTTAGTTATTTTTAGACAAAGTATCACTCTGTTGCCCTGGCTGGAATGCAGTGGCATGCTCATGACTTACTGAAGCCTCAACCTCCTGGGCTCATGCCATCAATGCTCCTCCTTCAGCCTCCCAAGTAGCTGGCACCACAATTAACATTATTGTTTCAGGATTTTGTAAATCAAATACTTCTTGTATCTGACTGATTTTCTTTAATACTTTAAAATTATCTTTTGTAAAGTGATGAATAAAACTTTGAGACAGAGAATGGAGATACAACAATATCTCAGATTTTTTTGCAAATGCCTTTAATATTAATGTTCTCTTTGATGAGTTGCAAGAAAGTTGAGAAAATACAGTAGCTAGATCAAAGAGTCCCAAGACTGGTGCCGTATAATAATGCCTTTACAATCATAACTATCTTTTTCCTCAGAAGCTACTAATTCCGTTTAAGAATGCCCAAAATGTCAATTTTCTTACTCAAGCTTCTGCAAAAATATTTGCCTAATCGGTGCTTTGCAGTTAGAGAAAATGTGTCTCACATCTTTGTCTGTACAGCTAGCTTAGCATCACGAACAACGATTTGGTTTGATGTAGTAGGCGGAAATGGTTAACTCCAATCTAGGAACAAGATTTTTCAATAACTGGGTATTCAGTGGGCATCCATTGATCAGTTTAACATCTTTCGCTGTGTTTTTTAATTAGATGTAGTAGAAGTGAGTTGGACTCCAGTATGATTCTGAAAAATACAGTTATTTTGTGCTTCTAATGTTGCTGTAAAAGAAACTCTTTCGTGTTTTCCATTCTTATTGCTATTTCATCACTAGTTATTCCTTTATGTGTTTTCATTTAATTTATTTTGCTCGACAGTGCTTTTTTTCTATTCTGTAAAAGTTTAATTCACTTGTATCTGTGGTAAAATTGAGCAACATATCAAATTCTCAAATTATTTGCGAGATACAATTGCCTTGCACATCAGATTGAACATTGTACACCAGAGAATGTAGAGAGTTGCCAATTAGCCAAGAATCAAATGACCTATTTCTAGCCAAGGCTATTTTTTCATGGCATCCTGGTACTCTCTGTCACATGGCTCCTTACAATTGGCTGTGGCTTTGTTTTAACTCATGTATTTATCGCTAAGGATCCTTGCAATGAACTTTTGTGTTTTCTTTTCTCTTTCATTTCCAAATAATCAGGAATGGCACACAAGGTGCATTTTGAAAATTGCCACTATAAATATTTGTGGGCCGGGAGTGGTGGCTCATGCTTCTAATCCCAGCATTTTGGGAGGCCGAAGTGGGTGGATCACCTGAGATCAGGAGTTGGAGACCAGCCTGGCCAACATGGTGAAGCACAGTCTGTACGAAAAATACAAAAATTAGCCGGGCATCAGGGCAGGTGCCTGTAATCCTAGCTACTCAGAGGCTGAGGTAGGAGAATCGCTTGAACATGGGAGGCGGAGGTTGCAGTGAGACAAGATCACACCACTGCACTCCCGCTTGGGCAACAAGAGTGAGACTCCATCTCAAAAATAAATGAATAAATAAATAAATAAAGATTTATGATCAAGTAACTAATTACCTGGACATCCTCTCCTGGCATAAGAAACAGAACCTATGAAGCCACCCTAGACTGTTGCCCAATCCTATCCACCAAAAGGAACCTCTATCTTGAGTCTTGTATTTACTAGTCCTTTGCACTGTCTCTAAAGATTTTTACAATAAATATATATACCCAAATCACAGTCTGACCTGTTTTTTTAACTTCCCTGTACAGCGAACTCACACTATATGTATTCTCCTGTGATGCACGTTATGTGTAGGAGAGTTATCTCTGATGTGGGAAGGTGCTGTTCAATCATTTTTACTGCTAAAATTTTACTTTTAGGGATTATATCACAATTTTGTTAATTCCCATTGATGCATATGTGATTGTTTCCAGTTTTTTTGCCATAAACATTGGTGTACACGTCTCTGGGACACATAGCCAAAAATATCCCCAGAGTGTATGATCAGGAGCAGGTGGTGGGATTATACAGTGTATGGACCTTAATCATACAAGATAAGGCTAATTTGATTTCCCAAGTGCTTGTACCAAGAATGGGAAAGAACTTATGTTGCTCATGTGTTCTGAAAACACTCAGTTGAAGGTGGAGATTACATGTTAAAAAACCACTGTCTTGGCTACAGAATCACCCTAGGCATTTTTTCATATTCCATTAATAACTTCCTTTTCTTTACTTTTATCCTGTAAATTATGGCATTATACTTTAAGCATAAGATTCAAATAATGCTTCTTTTTAGCCTAACCACATAGAGTTTGTGAAAAAGTGGAGGGAGGGAGAAAGCTCTGAGGGAGGAAAGGAGGAAAGAAAGATGGAAGGACAGAGAAAGACAAAATGAACATTTTCAAAAAAGAATAGGAGGAAAGGATTAGAAACAGCAAGTGTGGCTAATATTATTAAAATGCAGGGAATTAAAAGATGTAGATAACATCCATGGAATAACAGAAACTTAAGAAAGCCTTAATAGTTATTAACTGCTGTGTCACAAACTACCTCAAAATTTAGTGGCTTAATACAACAAATATCTGTTAATTTCAAAGAGATACTACAAACGCGCACAAAATAGATTTTATGGGGGTGGCAGAAGTTGGATAAAGAGATGGATTTTACAGGTTGGAATAAGTAAGAGTTATTGGTGTGCACATGGCAATGCTTTTTAGTCCAAGTCCTCCGAGGAGCAGATGCCAAGATGAGCTTAAAGTCTACGGCATCTTATGAGGGGACACACCTGTAAGGGAATATGAGAAGCGAGCCAGAAATCCCTGGAAAAGGCGGCAGACAATGATGCAAGTGTGACCCCAAGTGCTGGACAGAAGGAGACAAGGTCTGTTCGACGCATCCTAGAGCAGAGGCAGTCTAAGGAGAGTTGAGGAAGGGCATGGAGGAGTCCTGGAGCCACATTTGGCCATCAGAGGAGTCCCATGTCTCCCAGTAATGGCCTGCCTTAGTGTGCTTGCTGTGACCAGTCACTGGCTGGGAACAACTCATGGAAGCAGGGCTTCTGCACTAATCCTGCTGAGGATGTCAGAGCACAGAAGCAGAGACTTGGGACATTACCTAGGAGTATCACTCAATCCTTCCTTCCTGAGGGTTCTGGGCTCTTGAATATCAAACCCTCTCAGGCTGGGTTGCTGGATGATTCTGCTCACACAACGGACAAGGGAAACCAGGATGTCCCCAAGTGGATTCCTGGTTTCCACACACACTTCTCCTGCCCTCATTGTGTGATAGCAGCCCTGCCTCCTCCTCTTCTCACCTGCTTGTCTCTGGGCACATACTATTCAAATATCCCTGGGTGCAACCACAATGTGTAGTTCCATGGACTCTCATTTGTCTCCTTGCGAGGGTGTCCTCTTTGGGAAACCAGGACCTCCTACCCTGCAGAGTCCAGATTTTGGAAGTAAGAGGAGCAAAATCACCCTGGGGGTGAATATAATGAATAAAATACATACATACATACGTACATACATACATGCATAAATTTATTTATGTATTGATGTTATTTATGTATTTATTTATTTACTTATAAGTAAATCACCCTGGGGGTGAATATAAGGAATGAGACACACCTGCTTTGACTTCTTGGTTTTTGGACCCACGTATTCTTCCTTCTGAAAACAGTGCCTTAGAGACGTCTTTGATTCAATACATGCATCACATCCTGAAAGATGGCACCCATTCCTCAGAGGATTTCATCCAAGCTGGTACTGAGTTGTGCCTGTAGAGTCCTGTCCATGACTCTGTGTGCCTGGCAGCACTTGAGAGGCGCAGGTGGTGATACGACCAGGGGATCCCATGGTCAGGACCCACACTTCATCCTCTTCTCCAAGAGGTGTGTCCCCCAGGCAGATAATGTACTGAAATTCTGAGCCAGTGGATCAGGAATGCCAATAGTAGTGTTGACTGAGGGTCTGAGAGCAGAGAGGAAAACCACACCACATCGAATCCCTGTGAGCCTATCCCTGTGAGGATAAACTTCTGCCCCTTCCAGGATGGATGGTGTTCAAGCTATTCAACTTGTCACTTAGGGGCTAGTCAGTTACTTTAAGAAATGGTGCCCTATCAGTGCCTATCATTGGTCTGCAATGCTCATGAGCAGAGTATTCAGAGGAAGCAGTAGCTGGGTGGGCCTTGGTAGTGGAGAGACAGTGCTGCTGGACTCATTTGTAGCCTCATTCTTGCCACTGTGGTTGCTCCACTCATGGGTTCTTCCTATCAGGCCTGGGCTGATCCATGATGCAGACTGGCTAACTTCAATTTGTCTTCAATTTGTTTGATTATTCAGGGCCACATCAGGACTGGGTGTTTTCTGTGGGTGTTAACATGGAATTGAGGCTCAACCGACATGGACCATTTTCGTCTCATGATAGATGCCGCTGGGCCTGTCCAATGAATGACTCTATGGGTCACATAGAAGCCAATACACACGGGCACTTGGAATCACATGGTTGCTTGGTGTCCTATGCGCAAGCATTCTATCTTATCAGGGCCAGTAACATGCTAAAAGTTGCTTCTAACATGGAGCATGTTTCTCTGCTGTGGACTCCATGGCCTTACTCCTGATCCCAGGCCCTGCATTCTGACTTTCCCACTGATGCTTGGTTGAGCTCCATCCTGCTTCTTTCCCCAGACCGCCACCTCCAGCACCAGGGGTCTGAGGGATGGTGACTGACTGCACCACAGCCTGGGTCTGCTGCAGTGTCCTTTCCAGTCCAGGCCCCACTCAAAGCTGGCCTCCTCCTATATCACCCAGAGTGTCAGCCAAAGCAATAAACTTAGATGTGGAATGTGGTGTTGCCAGAACCCAGAGAGGCTCATCAAGTAGTGTGCTTCCTTCCTTCTGGTGAGGATGCAAGATGCAAGTTTGTCTTTTACTTTGTGGTGGGGGGGGGGCGGGGAGCTCTGCATGCCCCTAACCACTGGACCCATAACACTTCACTGCAGTGGCCACTCTTGAAGCTCTGTAAGGTTTATCTTCACCTTCTGTAGTGCACATGTTTTGCCAGGGAATTCAGCGTACTTTCCTGCTGTTGTTCATCCTTCCCAATTTATGTGATATTGCCAATGAAATGAAGAGATTTAGTATTCATTGGGATGTCTGATTTGTCCAGGTCTCTTAAGGTGATATTTATAGAAGGTTGAGGAGTTAAGGTAGCCCTGATGCAAGCTATCAATAAATGTATTATAAATCCCATGTGAATGTGAATCATTCCATATCCATCTTCTAAATGAAATGGGAGGGAATGCACTCACCAAATCCACAGCTGCTTGCCATGTGCCTGAGGCCTTATTAATCTCCCCAGGCAGTGATATCCAGCCAGCATGGCAGCTGCAATCAGGACTCCTACTTGGTCAAGTCTGGAGTAATTCCATTCATTCTTTAGCCATATCAGGCTTCTGCAGGTACAGATTGCTGAGTTATATGGAGATAACAGGCAATCCCAACAACACCCCGCATCGTTCAGGTCTGTAATGGCAGTGCCACCCCTATAATACCTGCAGTACCCTCCACAAGACCCACCCTGGGGCACAATATTGCTTCTGGTTTGGCTTGTATGAGGGATGTTTCCCTTTGGGCTTCAGCACAATGAGATCCCTTACTCTCCAGACTAGGGACACAGTGTGGGGTGACTCCAGTTGCCAGTGCATCAAGGCCAATTATGCACTCAGAGAATGGGGAGATAACCAGGACAGGATTTATGGAACTGGTGATTCCACCATGGGGCATAATTTGTCTAGGTTTATTCCCTGGCCTCTGTAAGCCCCAGTGTGATGGGGGACATAATGGTGCTGTGGGAATCTGGGCAGCAATGTCAGCTCACACCCAATGTTAATACTTATCCCATCTCCTGATTAAATGGCTATAGGCTCCTTTGCAGAAGGGCTGATGGAATTGTCCCAGCATGTAACCATCATCGTGTCCCAAGGTTCTTTCTCTTAGGGATATAGATATGTCCTTAGTCACTGGATTCTGAATCTGAAGCTTGCTCCTCAATTCCACATGCTTATCATAGATATCAAGCAGTGACCTTGCTGTCTGCCCATCTTTTCTGACCCTGGGACACCACCCTTTATTAACCTTCCCCACAACTCCTTGAAGGTCAAGCCCCCTTGGCTGATACTCTGGGTTATCACAGTAAATGTGCCCTTTATCTTTTGCAGGTCACTGAAAAGGAGGGTTCCTAAAGCATTCACTCCTGACCCTGAGGGAGGTGGGTGCACTCACTCCAGGACTCAGGTTCACCACAGATAAGCAAAAAAGTCCTCACATTCAAAATTGTCCTGGGCCACATGCAGCCCACGAGCCGCGGGTTGGACAAGCCTGCATCTAGAACGTATGCACCATAACCCCAGAAATTTTTCTGTTTTTACTTTAAGGATGCTTTCTAAATGCAAAAGCAGTCATATCCCTAGCAGACAACAAATGTCAGTTGAATGAATGACCACTGTAGAGCATCTCCCTATTCTAAAGCCCATACCTTTATTAATGTAGCCACAGGGCAAATGCTGTTTTGTGGCAGCTAAAGAACATAAGTTCACATGGACATCCACGCCGCCAGTGCTTTTCTCACCAGGGCTGCTTGTGTGTCCTCCCTCCTCCCACACCAACCCTCCTGCACACTTCAGCACAAAACCATATATTTCTCTTCAGGAACAATAACCCTAGCCTTATGGGTACAATTTTCCAACCACATATGAATCTAAATTAGACTCTGCTTTATAAATCTATGAGTTTGGATTGGAGCCAGCACTAGGATTACTACAATTCAGAGCAGGAAGAAGAGTAGGAGGGCAGAACAGGAGTTCCAACAGAAAGTTAATCATGATGAGAAACTATGGGACCACTCCTCTCTGCAAATGTCACAATCTGGTTCCTTTAAAAAGATTGGAGAAAAATTGAAAATACAATTGAGGAAAAAGCCCTGGGAGGAAGGCAAGACCTAGACAGGTCTGAAAATTTGTCTCTTGATACCGCAAGGAGATTTGTATGCAGGGACCACCCTAGGTGACATCCAACTCCCTGTGATCACAGGTCTTAGTGGGACAAGGTTCTACTGAAGGGCCAAGGACAATGGAGCAGCAAAGATGACCCAGCCAAGCAGTGACCACATAAAGCCCATAGTGGCCGGAACAGAAACTGGGCACAGCCCCATCTACTCTCCTCCCCTGCAACAAATCAGCATAAGCAACACGTGGACTCTGGAAGGTTCTCATGTGTTCCATTTATTTTGTCTCTCAAATTTTAGGAATCTTCTCCTTTAATTAACTCATCAACCTCTCATGGCAAGAATTTGAGAAAGTAAATTTATACTCAGGTTCTAATTTTAATAGGGAAGGAAGAAGTTACAGCTCAGTGCACCATGAAGTTGAGACAGAGATGGAGACACCTCAGCCCCACCTCTCTGGAACAGGAAAGATGATTGGGGAGGGAGCACAGGTCAGCGTGGGAAGAGGGTCATGGTGGACATGGGGGTGGGGTGGTCTCCCCACCTCCTCACATTATGCCTACACGAACACAGACACATGCAGGTGCCTTTGCAGAAACAAAGTCAGGGTTCTTCAAGTCACAAAGGGAAGGGCAGGAACAACTCTTGCCTCTCAGTCCCACACAAGGCAGCTGTCTCACACTATAGAAAAAAATATTCATGAACAAATTCGTATCTGTCACAGTGAGGGGTCACACTTTAAACAGCCCATCGCATGCTCAATACATCCAATGGAAAGAAACCCCATAGCACAGCTGTGTCCACTGTTCCGCCCAACACCCAACACACATCAGGCCCTCCAGGCTCTCACCTTTACAAGCTGTGAGAGACACATCAGAGCCCTGGGCACTGTCACTGCCTGGGGTAGAACAAAAACAGAACCTGGTCAGATCCCACAGAAGATGTGGCTAGAGGAGGAATTGTGGGGTGGGTGAGCTCCCCCATGGGCTCCCAAACACAATATCCCAAGGACCTCAGGCATCAGCCTCCTTCATACTTACTTGCAGCCTGAGAGTAGCTCCCTCCTTTTCTATCTGTGGGAAGAAAATGTCCTGTGAGATACCAGAAAGGAGTCAGGGCCTTAAGGTCCTAGAGGAACCTCCAAGTCTTGGACCTCAGAGAAGTTTCCAGAAATGTGTGACTGCAGACCCAGGGCGGGATCAGGAAACATGAAGAAAGCAGGTGTGGGTCCTGGACCAACCGCCCTCCTGAAGGTCCTCAGGGACCTTCCCCTGTGACTTGTGACTGCTGGGATCAGGTCCCATCACCGCTGTAATCAAGGTGATAAATCTGTCCTTCATTTTAACAGGTGCTTTACAAAAGAGTAAGTGCTGGCACACAGGGCCCAGGCTGGGTAGGCCCATAATTGTGGGTGGTGCTTCCCAGTAACGAGGCAGGGCACACTTCTACCTGGGTCTTGGAACCCTCAGTGAGACAAGAAATCTCAGACCCACCCTTCACCCCTTCCCCACCTGAGCTCTTCCTCCTCCACATCACAGCAGCGACCACAGCTCCAGTGATCACAGCTCCAAAGAGAACCAGGCCAGCAATGATGCCCACGATGGGGATGGTGGGCTGGGAAGACGGCTCTGGGAAAAGAGGGGAAGGTGAGGGGCCCTGACCCTGCTAAAGGTCAGAGAGGCTCCTGCTTTCCCTAAAAGACATGACACCCCCGTCTCCCTCCTTACCCCATCTCAGGGTGAGGGGCTTGGGCAAACCCTCATGCTGCACATGGCAGGTGTATCTCTGCTCCTGTCCAGAAGGCACCACCACAGCCGCCCACTTCTGGAAGGTTCCATCCCCTGCAGGCCTGGTCTCCACGAGCTCCGTGTCCTGGGTCTGGTCCTCCCCATCCCGCTGCCAGGTCAGTGTGATCTCCGCAGGGTAGAAGCTCAGGGCCCAGCACCTCAGGGTGGCTTCATGGTCAGAGACAGCGTGGTGAGTCATATGCGTTTTGGGGGCGTCTGTCAGGAAGAGTCAGATCATTCAGGCATTTTGCATCTGTCATGGGACACTCCTCCAGCACACATGTGGCTATCTTGAGAATGGACAGGACACCTGGGATGGGGAAGGGAGCACAGAACCCAGACACCAGCCTGGACACAGGCACCTGGGATAATCTCCTATTCCGTGGAAAATTCTAGTCCCTGAAGAGGGAACAGCGACTTCTGGTCCTGACCTGAGTGGAGGCTGAAGGACTCAGAAGTGCTGGACTCAGACCCCCACACACATTGAGTGTGAAGCAGAGAACAAGGCCTGAGAGGAAAAGTCACGGGCCCAAGGCTGCTGCCTGTGTGTGTCAAAGGGAACCACTCATCAGTATTCGAGGGATCGTCTTCCCGTCATTCCTTCAGAGATTTTATCCCTTAATTGTGTCAGAGAGCAGGGCGGAACCTCAGAGTCACTCTCTGGTACAGGATCTGGAAACCCAGGAGGATTCCTCTCCCTCAGGACCAGAGGGAGGGCGATATTCTAGTGTTGGTCCCAATTGTCTCCCCTCCTTGTGGGAGGCCAGCCCGGGAGATCTACAGGCGATCAGGGAGGCGCCCCGTGGCCCCTGGTACCCGTGCGCTGCAGCGTCTCCTTCCCGTTCTCCAGGTATCTGCGGAGCCACTCCACGCACGTGCCCTCCAGGTAGGCTCTCAACTGCTCCGCCACATGGGCCGCCTCCCACTTGTGCTTGGTGGTCTGAGCTGCCATGTCCGCCGCGGTCCAAGAGCGCAGGTCCTCTTTCAGGGCGATGTAATCCTTGCCGTCGTAGGCGTACTGGTGGTACCCGCGGAGGAAGCGCCAGTCCGACCCCACGTCGCAGCCATACATCCTCTGGACGGTGTGAGAACCTGGCCCGGACCCCGCGGTCAGCCCGGTCCCCCGAGCCCCGCCCCGCCCCGACCAACCTGGGGGGATTTTTGGCCTAAACTGAAAATGAAACCGGGTAAAGGCGCCTGGGCCTCTCCCGGGGCAAGGGTCTCGGGGTCCCGCGGCTTCGGGGCGGATCTCGGACCCGGAGACTGTGGGCGACCTGGCCCGTCCGTGGGGGATGAGAGGTCGTGACCTGCGCCCCGGGCCGGGGTCACTCACCGGCCTCGCTCTGGTTGTAGTAGCCGCGCAGGGTCCCCAGGTCCACTCGGTGAGTCTGTGAGTGGGCCTTCACTTTCCGTGTCTCCCCGTCCCAATACTCCGGACCCTCCTGCTCTATCCACGGCGCCCGCGGCTCCATCCTCTGGCTCGCGGCGTCGCTGTCGAACCGCACGAACTGCGTGTCGTCCACGTAGCCCACTGCGATGAAGCGGGGCTCCCCGCGGCCGGGCCGGGACACGGATGTGAAGAAATACCTCATGGAGTGAGAGCCTGGGGACGAGGAGTGGCTGAGACCCGCCCGACCCTCCTCCCGGCGCGGCTTCCCGGGTCCTGCGCCCCCGCCAGGCGGGCCCGTTGCTTCTCCCCACAGAGGCCGTTTCCCTCCCGACCCCGCACTCACCCGCCCAGGTCTGGGTCAGGGCCAGAGCCCCCGAGAGTAGCAGGACGAGGGTTCGGGGCGCCATGACGGCC